>NW_025791760.1:300000-431782 GCF_000001405.40 Homo sapiens
AAAATTCATGTATATATTATATATATTTATATATGTATGTGTTATATGGATATACACAAAATTGCTATTGGTAAAGGTGGTTTTCATAGGAGCCTATAATTACTAGAGATTTTATTTTTCCTTAAAGATATTATATTTCCTTAAAGATATTCTATTTCTTAATTTATAATACAGATAATTCTTATGCTTTTATTAAAAACATAAAATAACAGGCTGGGTGCAGTGGCTCACGTCCATAATTTTAGCTCTTTGAGAAAATGAGCCTAGCAGTTTAAGGCTGCAATGAACTGTGATTGTACCACTGCACTCCAGCCTGGGCTACAGAACCAGAATATGTACATATATACATAAATTGACAGTAATGCATTAAAACCTGAAATCAAGTTTTAAAAGCAACAGCAAAGTGCATTTCCAGTCTAGTTCAGTGACTATTAAAATTAAAGCCAACTTCAGGCAAAACATTTCCAAAAACATAAGACAAAAAACAAACACAAAGAAAAAGGAGAAAAAATATTCCAGACTTTTGAAGACATTTATTAAAATCATAAATTGATGGTATCCTCTTTCTCATCTTTTGATGAGTAAAATAAAGTACCCCAAAAATTATCTACAAATTTGGTATTTGAGGGTTCTTTTGTTGTAAACTCAGTGGTTCTTGATGAGAGGAAGTTTAAAGTTTATTTATGGAAATTAGCCAAGGTGTCGAATCAATCATTTTTTCTCCTCTGGTGAAACCTAATCAAGAACCCTAATGGCTATCCCAAACTCCAAGAAACATACAACCTTTTCAAAAGGGCTGTGATTTTTCAGAGATTCAATACAAAGAGGTACAAGGAGCCAAACTCATTCTTCTCTGGGACACACAGAGTGGCTTCGGAACTGGCTGTGAAGATGTCTGAAAGCTACTATCACTATATGGTGAGGCCCTGATCCCTGATCAGACTTTATATTATTACTTCTACTGCAAGTATCAGTGAGACCATAAGTATATTTCTAGGGTGAGAACACAGCTAACAGAGGAGGAGTTCCTGCTACTTTTCCAATCCAAAACAGACTGCGCTATGTTTAATTTTTCAATAAACTGAGCTTGTTTCTATAAGTGATGTCATTTGCTTACTTAGTAAAAATGTTTTTACACTTACTTTGTCATCCTGTCTTCCTACATACTTGTGAACTACAGTGAAGATTAATTTTAGTTGTATCATTTATGCATTCCTTAGTTGTTCCTATGTATTGTAAGAACACAGAAAATAGTTTTCAGATATTTTACAATTTTATACTTGCTGTATATACTAAATTTTATTGAGAATATTTTATTCTATATGTTGTGCATAAATGTAATACCCTCTGTTATAAAGGTGGCACACAAATATATGCGCAAGACAGAATATTCTATAATATACAACTTAGGTAATGCATTGACTAATTTGAGGATAATATTGTTTTAGAGTATACTAAATGTCTCTTTAGCATTTCTGGGTGAAATCTGATCAAATTTCAGAATGTTCAGTAAATAAATAATGGTTATATAGAAATTATTTTGCAGTGGTGGACTGTGATTGAGATTCTTCAAAATACTTTAAAGGAGAAAATTATGATATCTAAATGAAACAATGGGAGAAAAATCTCAGTTAAATACCATTTCCTAAACTAATCACTTTTTTATTCTTTTGTACAAAATCAATCTTTTCTAAACCAATCACAACGAGCATTAAGAATGGTTTTCAGAGTATTCAGGACCCATCATCTAATGGTATAAATTGGTCCTAATTTCATCCCCTTAAACCTCAAGCTTTTTGGAGTAAAGTCAAAATTCAACAAAACTGAGGATTCTTTTGTTTTCTTCTTTCTTTCTTTCTTTTCTTTCTCTTTCTTTCTTTCCTTCTTTCCTCTCTTTCTCTCCTTCCTTCCCTCCTGCCCTCCTTCCTTCCTTCCATTCTTTCTTTTTCTTTCTTTTATAGGTCTTGCTTTATTGCTCAGGCTGAAGAGAATTGGCTCAATCTCAGCTAACGGCAACATCAGGGTTCAAGCGATTCTCCTGCCCAGTCTCCTGAGTGGCTGGGATTATAGGCATGTGCCACCACTCCTGACTGATTTTTGCATTTTTAGCAGAGACGGGGATTCCCCATATTGGCCAGGGTCGTCTCCAACCTGATCTACCAGCCTTGGTATCCCAAAGTGCTGGGATTACAGGTGTAAGTCACCACACCTGGCCTCTCTGAGGTTCATTCTTCTATGCAAAAGAAAAGGGTAGTATGTAGTGCCCTGTGAGTTATGCATGAACCCAACAATTTTACCTACAGATCTGAGAGCTCTCTTTGTACCTCAGGTTCTATTTTTGTCTTATACAAAATAAAGCTTATTCTACTCTAGACAGAAGTTTATCATTGAGTTACAACCTGAGTCAAATTTTGCTTTGGTCTGTGTTTCTCCAGGGCATAAGATGAAGAAGTTTGAATGATACCTTTCCTAATTTCCTTCCTTCAGGAAAATGGTCTCAGAGATCACACAAGCCTTCCAGAAAGAGCCCATCTGTCTCTTCTGTCTGAACTAACTCGTAGATCCCATCACCACAGGCTGTGTCCCCAGCTTCTGTAGACCCTGTCTCTGCCTTTCCTGGGAAGAAGCCAAAATTCCTACCTGCTGCCCACATTCAGGGAACCATCACAGCAGGAGGACATCAAAACCAATATTCTTCTGAAGAATCTAGTGTGCATTACCAGGAAAACCAGTCTCTGGCAATTCCTGAGCTCTAATGAACAAATGTGTGGAACCCACAGGGAGACAAAAAGATATTTGAAGAGGTGGACAAGAGCCTGCTTCATTTGCTGTTCTGGGACACTCAGGAGCACCAGGATCACAGACACTGTGAGGGGCAGCTAAGGAACACTGGGTAAGTGATGGCTCTGAGAGCACTTTGAAAGCTGGAGGATGGCACAAGTAAAGAGATTAGGGGGAAGTTGAAGAGCATGATGATTAGTCTGTTCTGTACTGGATGTCATGTAGTGCCTAGGTATCAATGATAAAAATTTCAGTGGAATCTGTGAGAATACCTTCCTTCCTTGAACTTACATTTCACTGAAGGAGTGATGAAGTTAATAATCATTATAATAATTTGACTATTTAGTGTAATGTTCAAGGCACTGTAAAGAGCTCAATATCAGGAAGAGTTTCTGGCTATCCAAACTACAAGTTCAAAAGGCTTCTATATAAGAAACCTATGTACCAACACTGGAAATAATAGAATAAAATATGCTAGAATTAGCAAGGCATGGTGTCAGTAGATTCCAATTCTGCTGCAAGATGCCACATTATCTATAAATTAGCCCTGCTTATGATTTTCCTATAAACTTGTTGCATTACATGTTGTGGTTCTACAGTCTGAGATCTTCCCAAATCTTTCATATCTCATCAGTTGATTTCTTTATCACTGGGGGTCTGAAACCCAAAACGATTTGCTTCTCTGATGTTCACATTCATAGTTCTTTTACAGGAGAAGATCATGAAGCAAATGAGATCTTTATGGGCAAAAATTCAAGAAAACCAAAGAAATTTAAGTGAGAAAAGCAGGAAACCCAGCCAGTGGATTGTAAGTATTAGGCCTTTTCCCTCAGATTCAACCTCAGACAGACATGCTAGAAATGTATCCACTTATCACTTGAATGGAAATCGTGTTGGTTAGGATTTGAGGAAGATTTTTTCTCATGGCTTCCAATCCTGAGGGTACAATGCAGCATTGATTACTGCTCAGAGAGAGTGGTCAGGCTATGCAGTAGGGAGACTTGGTACTAAAGACTAATTTAAAAACACAGAGATCATAATACTGCAAACAATTATCTGTGAATCAACCATTAATTCCAATGGCTCTCATGTAGGTTTTTCAATATCAAAGGGTATATATTGAAGAAATGATCAATAATAACCTTTCTTCAGGTGTTTCAGGAAGTCATATAATGAATAAAAGTGGTATGAGAAAAGAATGAATTTGACTTCTAGTATTGTTAAGAAACAATAAAGATAAATGAAAGAAAGGGAGGAATGATTGATTTCATGGTTCTGAGAAGTAGGAAGACACAAATTTATGTACATAGCTTATTGGTAGAATACATGAGTCAGTCTAGGCTTGGTGTCTCAAGTCCATAATCCGTATAATTTGGGAGACCGAAGCAGGAGAATCACTTGAGACCAGGAGTTTCAAACCAGCCTGGCCATCAACATAGTGAGACCCCTAACTTTATTATGAAGAAAAGATGAAAGAGATAAAGAAAAGAGAACCTGAGTTAAAGTGAATAAAGGATGTGTAAGAGGAGGAGGATGAAGTCAGAATAAATATGTCATCTAGGAAATCCAGGTCCCTGCAGTGCTATGTGCAGCTATGGGCAGAGATGACCAGAGCTGAGTAGAGGAAGCTGCATTCAGTTCCCTATGAGAAGTAAAACAACATATAGAGAAACTTACAGAGGATGACAGAAAGATTTTACAGCAACTTAAGAAAAGCAAAAACGCAAAATGGTTCAGAAAAAAAAAAACACCTAAGAAAAATCTATAAGGAGCTGATGAAAATGTGCCATGATCTAGATGTGGAGCTGCTCCAGGAAAGAACCAATAACATGCCTAAAAAATTTTTATATTATTTGAAGTTCATACCTTACAACAAGCTTGTCCAACCCATGGTCTTTGGGCCACACATGGCCAAGGATGGCTTTGAACATGGCCCGACACAAATTCCTAAACTTTCTTGAAACATGATGAGATTTTTGTTTGTCATTTTATTAAAGCTCTTCAGCTATAGTTAATGTTAGTGTATTTCATGTGTGGCCCAAGACAATGCTTTTTTCTAATGAGGCCCAGGGAAGCCAAAAGATTGCACACCACTGGCTTAGGTGATATTATTTATTCAACACCATAGATGTGTGTGTGTATATATATGTATATGTGTGTATGCATATATATATATATATATATATATATATATGTATATGTGTGTATGCATATATATATATATATATATATATATATATATATATATAAAATATTTAGCTCCTGCTGCTAAGATGGAGGATCTTTTCCAAATAGAAATAACATAGACAAAATGTAATTCTTTTCCTAACCATGAACAAGCAAGCTTGTGGAATTTTTAAGTGGATATAATTTTCTATTCCCATTTATCAAAATTGGCCACAGAGAATATTACCCTCTAGTAAACTTCTTTTGTAGCTTGCTTTTCAAAAACAGAAAAAAATTAACTTATTTGTGACTATCCCATTTTTGTCTCCAATTTAGCGAAATGGAGAATTTGGGGAAGAAAAACACTTATTTCTTCCTCCTGTTTGTTCTTAATTTATAACATATTATCCTTTAGAAACAAGCCCTGGGAAAGTCCACTTTGTAGGCAGTTGATTGCAGCAATGCATGGCCACACATTTCCTTTCCTCTATTCACCACCAGGGCTTTGAATTCATCAAGAGTTTAAAGCCATCCTGTAAATATGTTGTACTGGGATCAACTTTGGAAATGAAAAGGAAAAGGAATTTACAAAGCATTTCAGGGATGGCACTATTCTATACTTTACCAAACCTAAAGGTTGGGTTGGAAGAGTAGCCCATTTCTGAAGCTTTTCTTGTTTTCTTTGCAGGATTTGGGAGACATATTGACCAAGTAAGTTTGGTCTCAATGCAAACTGGGGTAGCATGAGAGCTATTAAGTGGATCAAGCCATTTCTAACAAAATGAAGACACAACTTATGGAAACTCAATTGTTGGCATATGCATACATATGGGTTCAACTGGCTATAATTTCCTGTTCTCCTTTATGAAAAATTAACCTTTTTCCTCCCTGTGGCTATTGAATAAGTGTGCTTCCAGACTCAATACAGCAGTTTTTGAAGCACAGCTGTTTATGATTGTGGATTTCAAGTCATAAAAATGTTTAGGTGCATGAACTAGTTTTTTCCCAGGTGGTAGGTGAGTGAAGTAAGAAAAGAATATAAGAAAGATTCCCTACAAATGGCTCAATCCTATCTCATGAATGTGGAGATACATTGCTATATCAGGAAAGGGTTTTAAAGGTGAATTTCCATTGAATGATTATTTGTTTTTAAATCCTGTGATGAAATAGTTGGTATTAGAAAGCGCAATTGTATTTTCCTCTTTAAAGGAGTGAGTCAGAGCAGTGGCACATGCCCCAGTGTGTGAGCTCAGAGATCCGTGCTCAACCCATCCACTGGACTAATGGACAGATTCCACCACCTCCAGGTGAGTGTCAACCTGCTGAAGTGATGAGCACACAGTGCCCTTCAGGCATGGTCTTTCTTTCTTTGCTTTCTTTTTTTTCTTTCCTTTCTTTCCTTTCTCTTTATTTTTATTTATTTATTATTTTTTTTTTGTTTTTATTTATTTATTTATTTATTTTTCTGTGGAGTCTTGCTCAGTCCCCCAGGATGGAGCGCAATGGTGCCATCTCGGCTCACTGCAACCTCTGCCTCCCAGGTTCAAGCGATTCTCCTCTCTCAGCCACCCAAGTAGCTGGAATAACATGCACCCACCATCATGCCAGCTAATTTTTTTTTTTTTTTTGTATTTTTGTAGAGCTGGGGTTTCTCCAAGTTGGCCAGGCTGGTCTTGAACTCCTGACCTTGGGTGATCTGCTTGTCTTGGTCTCCCAAAGTGCTGGGATTACAGGCATGAGCCACTGCTCCTGGCCTCAGGCATGGTTTTCTACAGGCAATTTTTTGTTCTTTATTAATCTTTCACCTTATAAAAGGGAACAGTCTGTAAATAGCATTTATAAGCATACTTAGTAATACAGTCCCTATGATCATATGGAAACAAATAAATGAAAGCTGGTGTAATGGTAAATGTGATTCAGTCTCCCTTGGGTCTGGGCCTTTTGGGTTTGGGTCCCTCTGTGCGGCCAAGGCAGGTCAGTTGCAGAGAGATGGTCCAGACCTTGCCAAATGGTTTCTATATGAGGCTTCTGGGTCAACACTCCCTTTCAATAAAGACCTGGGCTATGATGACTCCAGCCGTGTTCTGCGCCACAGTGGGTGGAGTGCTCACAGTGGGTCCTCGGGCCATGGGAGACCCCATTAAATACACTGAACAACATGCCATCAAAGCACTTCCCATCTGACACTCCCCAGGGCCCATAGAAAGCCACAGCAGCATCACAGCCTTTGCCAGCACAAAGCCCAGTGTCCTTTCGGTTTATCTGTGTGTATGAGTACACACACTTAGGCTCGCCTGTGCACACACTCACACCATAGTGTACACTGTCCACAGTGGCACTGCCTGCTACTTAGGGCTGTGCCTCTTATCAAGTCTTATTTCAGGCTGGCTCAGCATGAGGAAATTATGTATGCAACACTGAGTTTCAACTGAGTCACTGGAAAATTACTCAAATCAATTCAGGTAGTGTGTGTTTTTCTTTTCCCTGTTTCTTTCAAAAACAACCTCCAGAGGAGTTTTTAACCACTTATTTAAAATGTTAATGAAGGAACCTGTGAGTGCAGAGGCACAGAAACGAGCAGCTGACTCAAGTTATTCCAATGCATAAGCAAGTTCCAAATGCACTGAGAGGCGTGGATGGGAAGATGCAAAGGGTGCCTTAGGAAGAACTGCTTTTGTTGTAAGCCCTTGGCAGCTCCCAGCATGCATGCTGTGACGACATTCACCCCACTGCACTCATCATCATCAATGTGACTGTTGTTTTAGAAGGATCTGTTGTGGTCAGGGTTCCACCTGTCCTTCCCCATACCATGGCGCTCCAGGCAGTTCCAGGCAGGTGCCGGCCAAAAGGGACTGGGGTAGAAACCAAGGACCAGGCCCGTAGAAACAGGGATCCTAGGGGCTTCCAAGGGGGAAGACCGACTGCCAGGTGCGGAATCCACAGAATGACCCACCGGGGAGGCAGAAGGACATGCACAAATCCCTGGGGAGTGTGTTAGAATTTCCCCAAATACTGTAAAATGGAAAAGTGCTTGCACTTTATCACGTGAAAGACTAATGCTATGTAGGAGCTGACACAGCACGGGAGGACTATGACCACCTAAGGAACAGTGAGCTGTGTCAGGACAGAAATGAGCAAGCTTGAGTCTCCGGGCACATCTCAGGAAACAGTAATGCAAGGCGCACGTCAGGGCTGTGACTCACTCCTCAGAGCAGGCTTGGGTCCCCAGTGTAAGAATGAACAGACAGCCCTCCCACATCATGTAGTGTGGATGGTGGGGCTGCAGGGCATGTCGTGCTCTTGCCGGTGGGCTGCCAGAGACATGTCAGACCCACTTCTTAGTGAGGGCCCATTCATTTCCTCTCTGGGTTGCATTTCATCATAATCACTCGGTACCCACGATTCTTCCTGACAGCCTGAAACAGCAGGCTTTGCATCCTTTTCAGGCCTGGGGTCTGGTCCTACCCCAGGGGCTTCTGTTTCACCCACAACAGATTCGCCTCCATGCCAGAGACACTGCTGACAGCAGGGAGAGAAGCGAAAAGAGGGGTCCAGCACAGCCCTTCTGCATTCATATATCCTATTTTCCATCCAACATCACAAACTCCTTGTCTCCTGCTCCCAGGAGGAACCTTGGGTCTCAGGAGTGGTCAATGCTGAGATGACAAAGCCATTGCAATTCTGATCTCCATAGTCTTGAGGCCTCTAGTGTTGCCAGGAGGCTGTCAGGAGGAGCTTGAGAAGAAAGAGGCCCACGATGTTTCACAATGTTTATCCCAAGTGGAGCCAAGGGACAGCCTCTGCACACCGAGGTAATTCCAGATGAATTGCTCCACGCTGTTCCCTCCTCCTTTCTGGTGTTTAGTGCTGGCTGACTGTAGAACACTTTATTCACAGAAGCAAGTAGAAAAAAATGTCACTCTTAGTTCACATGCTCCAACGTCAGACTGGGAGTGACCGGTTCTGGAGGGAAGAACCAGGACTGGCTCACTTGTGTTCTCATCAGCCACCTCCACGCACACGGAGGTGGATTTCACTGGTGTCAATACACGCATTCACATCCATGAGAGGCCACTCAGAGGGGCAGAAGCAACTTCACACCCACCATAAAGCCACTTCTGCTGCCAGAGTCCCCAGTCTCCAATCACCGAGAAATTCTCCACCAAGGGGCAAGCTCCAGCCATCTAACTTGTAATCAGTAGCATCAACATTGTCTGAGAAATGTTTATTCTGTCCAGTTTAAGCTTACTTTACACAAACACTAAAAACTAGTAAAATAGATTTTAGCTTTTCCTCTAACTATATTTATATATAAATCCCTGAGAAGGTAGCTGTCAACTTGAAATTCACTATCTACAGCTCCCCGGAAGATCAGACTTCCCAGTCCCACCAGAGCGCCCCATGCAGCTGTCATTTTCTCTCAAGTTGCATACACTGGCCAGGTAAAGGCAGCTTCTACTCAGCAGGCAAGTGGCCCTCTCACCTTCAGATTTGCCAAAGAAATCCGGGTCCTGCCCTACACTTGCTGGCTCGGCAGGCTTTTCAAAATGCAGGTATCTCTGGAGCCATTTTGTGAACACCAGGAGCATCACTGGACAAGCCCTGTGCTGGCCCCAGGGTACTCTGTGCACCTGGGTAAGGCTGGAACACACTGGGGACAGGGACCCAACATACTCACTCCGCAAGAGCGTGGGACCTGGGGAAATCGCCAGTTGTTTGCTGTCCTGCCATTGCCGTTCTACACATCCCTGGAGACTATGAGCATGGGTTGTGGTGCCGTAGTGGCTGGGCAGTATCAGAAATGTCCATTTTTCACCTGGAAGCAGCAGACACCCAAGGCTCAGGGTAGAAGTGGGGGCTCCATACCATTCCCAGTGCCAACTTCCCATGGCAGAAACAGGAAGGAATGTCTGGCAACCCACCAAGGGTCAGACGCCACATCAGCCTGAGCAGAAGCTGCCTGACACTGGCTGTTCCAATGACAATTAGACGTTCTTGGGAAGGTGGCGCCCTTTGTGGGAGCTCAGGATGGGTGTCCTGGAAGTGCCACTTAAATGGCACTGAGGCCTCTCAAAATCCCTGTGTTAGAGCTGCAGCTCTCCATGTGGGCTGCAGTGCAGTCACCTATGGAGCTTTAGGACAGGCCCAAGGCTCAGTTCCCTGGGCCAGTGCCTCAATAACTTTCGCAGTTCGGCTTGGAGAAGCGAGCCTGGGAGACCACGTGGCACTGCCTGGCTGGGTCCTGGGCTGACAGAGGTGAGCGTGGGGCTTGTGGTGACTTGGTAATGCTGTGAATTATGTACGTGTGGCAGGAAGGTGCCACAGTGCTAAGGCCCCGCATCTTGGAAATTCCATAGGGTCCACATGAGGATGAACTAAACACCAAATGCAGTCCTCAAAGGAATAATAAAACAAATACCCACATAAGGGAATCTCTGGAACTGAGTCTGGAAGAGGGGGCTGCCTGGTCCACTCCAGGAGAATTTGCCTAAAACAAGTTTGCTTCTCATTGCATTCTCTTTGCTTCTTCTAAACATCACCTCCTCTAGAGGTTACATTACACCCCATTCCTGTAATTTACATCATTCTGGGCTCCTTACTCTTGTTGCATCCTTTTTTACATTTTAAGGATGCCTAGATTCGATTTACTTAAGAGCATATACGGCTTAATTTTATATTTCTGGTAATCATTTATTACATTTCCCCCATTTTATCAAATGACACATTTTTCTCATGTCTATTTTAATATGTTAAAGATTTTTGTATACAGTTTATCTAAAACTCCTTGCTTAAAATGAGTTTAATTCTAGCAATACAGACATGCCTATCTCTGCATTGTTTTATAATTTGACGATAAATGTTTTTCCTCAATATATGACTGTATTGGATAATACTTTTTAAAAAGATACAATAAAATCTGATCTCTCTGTCTCACTTGATCATGTGGCTGAACCAGTCAATCCCTCCATCAAATAGAAATATCCGGCATCACTTAATCTAATTAATAAAAACATCCACCCATGATGAGAAGACCAAAGCAAACAGCCCAAAAAGGAGAGAATCCCATGATTTCTGTGTAAAGTCCTACAGATATCATAAATATTTATTGCTGGAAACAGTGTTTTAAATAAAAGGTCTTCAGGTAAGTGTATAAAAACTTCCTTGGATACAAGGGACCCTATCACTTGTAAAACTTGGCAAATTGGACAACAATTAAAAATACAAAATTACACAGAAAATATCCTTTAATAAATTGATTTTTTTTTTAATTGAGACGGAGTTTGGCTCTTGTTGCCTAGGCTGAAGTGCAATGGCGCCATCTTGGCTCCCTGCCACCTCTGCCTCCAGGGTTCAAGCGATTCTCCTGCCTCAGCCTCCCGAGTAGTTGGGATTACAGGCATGTGCCACCACGCCCGGCTAATTTTGTATTTTTAGTAGAGATGGGGTTTCTCCATGTTGGTCAGGCTAGTCTCAAACTCCTAACCTCAGGTGATCCGCCCGCCTCGGCCTCCCAAAGTGCTGGGATTACAGGCGTGAGCCACCGCGCCTGGCCTAATAAATTAATCTTTAAAAAAATCTTAATTGAGGTTCTCTAAAGGGAGCCTTTTAGGGAACATGCCCCCTAGGTGTACTGATTGCTAGGGTGGCTGGTGTGAAGCGAATCGATGTGGCTCCCCCAGCCCCTTTCTGGGAGCATCCTAGAGAGACAGCGTGGAAACGCGCGCTGCCCGGTGGTCCCGAGAGCTGCCATGGTGCCCAGCCCCGCGGCCTCACCCAGCCCTCAAACCCCGTGCCAAGCACCCGCGGACTCTCACGTCCTCTTCTTCCAGGGCGGCGGGCGCTTCTCCTGCACCTTGGCCTGGCGCCTCTTCTCGGCCTCCTCCGCCTCCCGTTTCTCCTCCTTGGCCACCTTGTAAGGCCACTTGGGTATCCGCAGGTGGCCGCTGCCTTTATGCTGCCCTTCCGCGCCGGCCTTTTGGGTTGGAAGGTGGGCGCGGGCACCTTGCTGAGGCGGACCTGGGCACCACCACGCTGGGCCCCAAGCTGCTCTGCTGCAGGCACTGCAGGGGCAGGAGGCTGGCCGTCCGCGGGGCGGGGGCGGCGGAGCCCCAGGACCCCGGCAGCCGGGCAGGTGGGAGGCCGGCTCTTGGGGAGGCCTTTGTGGAGCCAGCGGCCGCTAGGCCGAGCGGCTTATGCTACTCTGCGCCCTCCTCTTCGCCCGCCTCCTGCGCCTGCCTCCCCCCACCCCTCGCCGCGCCGCCGGAATTTCCTGCGCCGCCAGGATTTCCTGCACCGCCAGCCGCCTCTTCCCCCAGCACAAGGTGCTCTCGGGGCACATAGTCTGGCACGCGAGGGCCCCGGCGGGGCTGTTAGAGGCTCGTGGTCATCCTGACCATGTGGTCCAGGGCGCCCCGGTCCTCTGGGCCCCGCATGGAGCGCGGCGTCAGCGCGGACAGCTCGCAGTCCCTGAGCCTCTGCAGGCAGTTCTTGGAGCCCTCGGGCTTTTGCGGCCTCTCGGGGAGCGGCGGCAGCTCAAGCTGGTACTTTTTCCCCAACAGCTCCCGGCAGGGGCGCTCCAGGAGCCTCTGCATGAGGCGGACGTATAAGTGGCCACTCCTCTGGCGACATCCCACGGCGGGGGCCCTCGCGTGGACACCCGCCCCTGCTAGCTCAGGGCTCCGATGCGATCCGTTCGACCCTGCATGGCGGCTTTCAACCCGAACGCGTCCCTCCTTCAAGATCAAGACCCTGAACGTAGTTCAACAAGTAGTTGGTGATGATAGCGTGCCCTGACTGGGCCAGGATAGCCTCTTTAGTAAAACAGCCACGAAAGTCATGAAACAGATGCTCAGCTCCTTTCTTCATTTTCACTTTAATTCGGTGATGCCTCTGTGTCTGTCTGACGACATCTCTCCTGGGGTCTGTGATTCTGCTGATGGTCTTCAGTGCCTACTGAGAAGGGTTCCTGGACATCATCAGGTATGAAAACCTCAAAGCTCTCGGTCCTCAACGTGAGAACCCTGGGCCAGCGGCATCAGCCTCACCAGGAAACCTGTTCTTCTGCTCATTCTTGGGCCCCACCCCAGGCCTATTCAAAGAAAGACTCCAGGGGCAGGGCCTGGCAGCCTGTGTTTCCACCAGATCTGTGTTAAAGCTCAAATGAACCAGCCCACGTGATGCTGACCAGGAAGCACAAGGCTGAGAGCCAGTGTCCAAGGCAACGGTGCCCATGGGGCCAGAGGCAGCTCCTGCCTGTGCAGCTGTATTTAGGGCTGCGTTCCCCTCCCTGTCCTGCCAGTTGACGTCAGTGTGGGGTTACTCAGCTAAGGCCACCACGGTATATCCACAAAGCCGTGGTAGCAGGCGACATTAAGGCTGGTCCAGCCATTGTGGTCAGTCTCCTGCGCCTTCTCAACGCTCACCCCTCGCCGCACCAGCGTCCGCAGCAGCCCCATGCCTCCTGGACGCCCTCCTCCGGGACGCTCTCCAAGCCCTCGACGCCGTGCTCCTCCTCGTCCTGGAAAGGGTACAGAGTCGTCCCAGGCTATGCTGCAGGTGTGGGGCCCTGGAACTCTTTGTAGTCAGCGCGGTCCTCCTCGACCTGTGCGCCTAGGAGTGGGGACGGCGGTGGCGGGGTCATGCAGCGCTCCCAGCCACCCTGCGGCCGGGTCCCAGCCAGCAGCACCATGCCAGCGGCCGGAGGCGTGGGCTGGGGGCCGGGGCACCGTCCCGGAAAACCGGGCGCGCCCCAAGGTCCCTGCTTCTCGCTTCCGCGTCCCCAGAGAAGCCGTAGCTCCCGCCCCCAGCCCGGCAGAAACCTCCTTTCTTTACATTATTAAGTTTGTTTTCATTTTAATTTTCTTAGGACATTGATAAAATCACTTTCGGATTTTTGAGATTAAAAATTAAATAATTTTCATCTTTACCCTTTTTAAATTTTTCACACTTTATTTTAATGCTTTTATTCTTTTGTAAATTTTAATTATTGTAATTTATATCTTCAATTATTATGGAAGAATTTTAGAAAAGTCTTTTCACATAATAAAGACTAATTAATGAACTATTATTTATTCTCTCCTCTATCTCAAATACGGACTTTAAACTTTTAGAACACTTTTTGTTTTGAGACTCTTGTTACTTATGTGACATTTTAACTATTCACTCTTCTAGTGAATTTTTAATGTCATTCAAAGGGTACATCTTTCTACACTGAGAATTAAACAAAGTTCTCAAAAATATTCTCAGATAATTTAGAATTTCACCTTCCACTGGCATGTTAAGTATGTTCTCCTTCCCTTCTAATGCATATTTTCCTCACACGTCCTCATGTTATACTCCTTATTCACCCTCCATGCAAGAGGTGATTTTATTTATTTATTTATTTATTGAGACAGAGTCTCAGTCTGTCACCGAGGCTAGAGTGCAGTGGCATGATCTCGGTTCACTGCTATCTTTGCCTCCTTGGTTCAAGTGATTATCCTGCCTCAGCCTCCATAGTAGCTGGGATTGCAGGTGTGCACCACCATGCCCCGCTAATTTTTGTATTTTAGGTAAAGACAAAGTTTTACCATGTTGAACAGGCCAGTCTTGAACTCTTGACCTAAAGTGATCCACCTGCCTTGGCCTCCAAAAATGCTGAGATTACAAAAACAGCAACTAAACGCTGGAATGATGACTGGGAACTTGTCTAGAGTCTCCAGTGATTATCCTCCTTATAACAAGGCAGAAAGCCTTCCTCAGAATTATCTGGACTGACATCACTCATTGTCCAGACCTGTTAACAGCAACAAGTGCTGTGAGTCTCAAATGTGCTCCTTCAATAATGCAGTAGAAGGCCTGAGTTTCCACATAATAGTATCCTTGAATGCCTGGAGACTTAAGGCACAAGAATGTATTGATCCTATGAACTTTATGTTTTGTAAAATTTCAGATTATGTGAGGTGTTTGGACAAATTAAGTTTCAGGGTGATATCCACTATTGAGACAGAAAATTAGTTTAAAGAATTAAGACCTCAAAGTCCAGAATGAGAAAAAATTGTTTTTCTTAGAGCCTCCTTATAACTGTCTTATTTGTTTTATAGATGTAAGTACTAGAGGACAAGCTCTACCTGATATAGCTGGCCTAGACATATGCAGATTTATTAATTGTAGAAGAAATAATTATACCTTTCAGGTAAAATGGCTATGCAAAATAATTAGTTGCTGTTTTTGAGACAAGTTCTCACTCTGTCACCCAGGCTGGAGTGCAATAGCACAATCAGAACTCACTGCAGTCTCAAACTCCCAGCTGGTCTCAAGCAATCCTCCCAACTCAGCCTCCTGAGTAGCTGGGACAACAGGTGCACACCACCACTCAAGGCTAATTTTCTTTTTATTTTTGGTAGAGATAAGGTCTTACTATGTTGCCCAGGCTGATCTCAAACTCCTGGCCTCAAGTGATTTTTCTGCCTTGGCCTCCCAAAGCACTGGGATTATAAGTATGGCCACTGTTACCAGCCTTAGATCATTTTTTTTAATACAGATAGCTTCCCAACTAAAAATATTTTATTAGAATTCTCTGAATTCAGCAAAGCAATGTTATTACTGACCCAGTCTTCACTTATTTTCAGCTGACATGGAAGAACAAAATTACCTTTATTTTTAAATTTATTTTATTTTATATTTTCAAGGTGCAAAGTATGTTGTTTTGAGACACATATACATAATGAAATGATTACTATAATGAAGAAAATTAACAAATCTATCATATCACTTAGCTGTGCTTCTTTTTTATGATAAGAACACCAAAAATCTAGTCCCTCAGAATATTTCCCAAAAACAATACATTATCAAATATGCCTACAGGTTGTACATCAGATTCACTTATTCTACTACGCCTTTACAACTTTTGCCCTTCATTTACCTATTTCCTTCCCACCAATGTAACCACCTTTTTTAATGTATTGAACTTTTAAAAATAGATTTCAAATATGAGTGGAACCATGAAGGATTTTTCTCTGTGTGTCTGTCTTATTTCACTTAGGAAACGTGCCATTTACATGCCTCCTAAATTTAGTACAGAAATAGAGTGCTAGTCAAGAATGTGTCTCAGTGTTGTTATATTAATTTTTTCCAAGTTATCCTCTTTATCAATTTTTACTTTTTGTACTATAGAAAAGTCAAAATTATTGTATTAAAAAATCTGTAACAAGGCTATTGATAAATAACTTCTTTTAGGGATAGAAAACTCAGGAAGTTCAAGATTTCTGGATTAATGATTGACAATGTTCTTAGTGGTCCCTCTTTGATTTATTTCAATTGTAAGTAATTCTTGGTGATATTCTAACATAAATTCTGACAGGTGAAGAGAATAAATAAATTAAGTATCTCTAGGAGAATCAATAGAATAAGATTATCTTGGTTAAATAGCTAAGAAAGTATGCTAAATAGACACAAAAACTTTTTCATCTTCCAAAATCAGAGTTAAATAGTAAATAATCGTAAAGTAGCTAATTCTGTCTTTCTGCAAAAGTGAATCTGAGCTAAATTAGAAGAATGTCAGGAATAAATTTTTCCTTGAAAACTAGGAACAAATAATGTAATTAAATTATGAGGCACTGACTGTTGCATACAGTTTTATGTTGCATAGAGTTTTAGCATCAACAGAAAAGCTTACAAAACATAGGTGAAAATCAAAAAGGAGTGCTGGGTTGGAGCCCTAAGGTGAATAATTTTATCATCTCAGATCACTTGGAAAAAGGCAGCGAGTCCAAAAGAAGCTGGTGATAAGCTTTCTCTCTGCTAACCCCTAATGTTCTGCATGAAATATGTGGAGGCAGAAGAGAGACAGTTTATTATAGAGTCTACGTGGTATAGAGCGAAGGAATAAGAACATTTCTGATAAGTATTTTCAAAATTTGAAGAATCATTCCTATATAAATCATTCATTTAAGAGACTAAAATACAAGTAAGATGTTTCTTGCCACATAACCCTCAGCTTAGCCAGGCTCTAAAAAGGACAACACTGGACACCTTGACAGTGGTAAAAAGCAGGGTTTACTCACTCTTGAATACTAAGATCTGGTGCTAACCTTAGGCAGCAACTTGTCTATTTGGTTGAGGTTCAGCTCAAATCTCTTGGGTTATTTTCAGTTGTGCCAGTCATTTAATTTATTTTCTGAATCAAATAATAAGAATGGATATGGTTTTGAGTGTAAACAGCATTCCCAGATATATCTTACAACTTGGTGTGCCATCTGCCTAATTTTGAACCTATAGGACGGGAATAACTGCATTGTGAAAAATACCAGGTGATTTCCTTAAAGCCAAATACTCTTGTCCCTCCTACTTTTCTTTTGGCTTTCCTGCTGCATGGGACGTGGCAATAAATGGCAGTTTTCTGCACACAGAGATAAAATTCACTTGTTGAGGATGTCAATCTTCTTGACAACTCCTATATTGGTACAAACATGTGAGAGCAATGCACCTTCTGAATCATTTCAAATTTGTGGTCTTTGTTAGAGCAGGTAAGCCGGTGCCCTAGGAGACATAGCTATTAACGTTCTATTATAGAATTTTCCATTCTGTATCATCTGGATTCTTATTTAAAATGTAGACTAATTTTGTTCTTTCTACTGCATAAGAAGGTTTATACCACTTTATGCTTAGTAAATAATTAAATTTATATGTCAGTTTAAATAAGGACAGTCTCCATTGTTTTAAGTCCTTTTCCTGTTCCCCATCATCTTATATAGGAAACTTCCTCTTTCAATGGTTTATATTAAAAAACCTAAGACAATTGAAATCAACCCTATAAAAATTATGCTACAATTATTTTAAACCCTAACATAATAGTATTATCTTTGATATGAATCTGAAAATCAATTTATTTCTTATCTTTTGATAGATATTCATTAGTATGTTCTATCCTATTTTGTTACTTATATTTTGGAAAAGTTTCTTAACGTTAGAATAATATTTATACGTATTAACTCCTCTACTTATCCATTTATTCATCTTATTTATTGTGTAATCTATTCTAAAAATTTCACTGGATAATGGTAATATCTTAGCAAAGAAGACAAATACTGCCATTGCTTCCTTGGAATTTTCAATCTGGTAGTAATAAGTATAAGAGTTTTCTGAATATTATAATCTGATATAATATACTCAGAGAAGATGTTATAGCAGAGCAACCCAGCACTGAAAAACTGTTGTATGAGCTGAAATGTGATTAATAACTAAGATGTTGAGAAATAATAAAGTCTGTGAGGTCAACTTAACTTGGTCAGACTTAAAAAGAAAATAAGCACTCTTCTTTATTCTTTATAAGATAAGGTATCCACTACTTCATTTTTCTACCCCAGCCTGGTTCAAATATACAAGTAAGACAAATGGTTTATAGTGTGTACACACAGAGAGTATGAAAACCTACTCTCTGAAAAAGAAATCAGATTAAACAAAACGTATATTGTATGATTTTGTTTATCTGAATGCAAAAACCTAAAAAGTAGATTATGTGTTCTGAAGGAATGGGGGAGGGTGAATGGAGAATAAATGTTAATGGGTATTGGGATTCTTCTGGAAGTGATAAAAGTGCACAGGCAGTAGAGAGTTCTGATGGCTACACAAGTGTGATATGCTAACAATCTCTGAATTAAATACATTAGAACGTGACTTTCATGGTAAGTGAATGAATCTCAACAAAACTTGTACAAAAAAAGCCATTATTGATGTTCTAGTAAAGATTCCACAATAATTTACTAATTAAAATAACTTAATTAACAAATGTACACATTCAAGTTGGTTATCCAATTTATAACCATAAAGTAATTACATTCCACGAAGTTACAATGAGCTCACAGGCTCTCACACATAGGGTCTTAGGACACTATTTGCCTCATATATGGGATGTCACAATAAATCATCATGAAACCAAATTTTCATGTACAACCAAAGCAAAAGAAAGGCCTCAGAGGGGAAGAGAAGGAGGAAGGAGGAAAACCATAGATAGGAGAACCTTTAGAAATATCAAAAAAACTCACAGATCCATTATCATAATCCAGAGACACCCCAACCCGACCCAGAGACCTTTGTACATACTGAATTAAAGGTGGAGAGTTGGTGGAGAGACTATAGTGATTGCTCCTCTTTGAGGAAATTTAAAAAAGTGTTTCATCAGAATCAATAGCGATATTGGTATCTGCTGTCCTGGAATCTGAACAGACTCCCAGAATCCAGTTGGAGGAGTGGGTCACATCCACTTCCCAGTAATGCCTGCAGGAGGTGAATGCTTGCGCTCCCCACACAGCAAAGCTCTCCACTCCGTGGGGATCCATGGGTGCACTGCGACGGTCATCTACAAATATCACATGTCTCACATCCTCAGAAAGGCTCATATAGCAAGAAGTCATTTCCGTGCTCAGAGCGTTATCCACTGAC
The DNA here is from genome assembly GCF_000001405.40 of Homo sapiens. Taxonomy (NCBI): domain Eukaryota; kingdom Metazoa; phylum Chordata; class Mammalia; order Primates; family Hominidae; genus Homo; species Homo sapiens. The sequence continues at coordinate 319,369 of NW_025791760.1, forward strand.
AAGGAAAAAATATTATATTAGTGAGTGTTATGAGGGACAGAGGCTCTGTGGCCCAATTATTCACTTCATTTGCTCTTCTTCCAACAAAATACAGAAAAAAGGAAGCCAAGAGAGTTCAGACCCATGCATCCATGAAGATAAAATGTTATTACAACTCTACAGCACAAACAATTATATATTATTCCTTAATGTCTACATCTGCATAGTTTGTTTCAGGACATATCTAAAATGGTTTTTTTTCTTCAATAGAAAACTCTTCTTGTGTTATTTGTCTTTAAGATCATCAACAGGTAGACATCAATTTGCTATGATATGAGTATTGGAATGTATGTTATGCCTGTTATGGACACAAACATCAAAAATTTGGTAGAAATTAACACACGTAAAGTTTTTAAGTTTCTGAAAAAAATACTCTGGCTTTACATTATCTGTTTAGTCCCTGATTCAATCTACTCTGGGTTCCTGCCCTCTGCTACCTAGACCTGCTCTCTAGAATGGGCCTAACATGGTTAAGCCATGTTCACAGATCCCTCACCTTTCAGTTGTTACGATATGTATCTGATGGCATTAGAATTGTCCTGATTATGGATATTTTAGTCATTTTATTTGTTGATCAAAATGTTCTGATTTTGTAAATAATAAAGATTACTTGTAGAATGCATGTAAATGCACATAGTATAGAAACAATTAAAAACCATTATGCCAAATCTAAACCTTCAAAATTGAATTAAATTGAATAAACACGAAATACTGATGCCACCAGGAGAACTAGTGTCTTCATAACTACATGATATGAATATTCTTTGTCTTCTTATTCTGCAGATAAACTATGTATCTTGCTTTACATTTTCATCAAGCTGTAAGTCAGGAAATTGAGTTTTGATCATTGTAATATTACTACGCAGGTAGAGAAGATGCACATATTTTGGAAAAGTATGTGTTACCTACATGTCAAAAACAATAAAACTTAAATGGGAAAATCCTGAGCCAAGGGACCCAATAAGGAAATAATTGGAGGCTGGACTGCCAAGCAGCTGGCTCTTACCTCTGAAGTTGTTGAGCATGTCTAGGACTCCAGTTATGCACCATGAAATGAGCTCTGGGTTCACTGGCTGGGGCTTTTGCATCTGTGCCAAATCACTCCTGCAAAAAATGGCCTCAGTGATATTTCCAGGCCCAGAGCTAGTCACACAGTCATACAAAGATATCATATTTTCATAGAAGATGTTTCCTCAGAATTCTGCCAGTTTTGGTTAACTGGGTGTACATTTTATTCCACACTCTAGGGGCCATAAGGATGTTACTTTTTCTAAATTTTACTGGCGTAAAAATCAGTGTGTCCAGATATGTTATTCTCAGACATTATACAACTTCTGAAGTCATTAAAAGTCATGGGCTGCCTCTGCCCATCACACTCCCTGAGGGTATGCAGAAATTCTGGAAATATTTCAGAGAGCAGAAAACTCAGATAAAAACCTTTGGGACCTCAGCCGGCCGTTGCCACTAATGCTAGTCAGTGTCTAACAGAGAATGTTCACTGAGACAAAAGGCTTTAATCTTTTGTGCAAAACAAAGGAGTCTAATTCCAGCCTGAGAACCCTGCTGCTGAGGGTCCTGAGGCAACCATTTTCCTGAGGTCTTTCCTAGTACTGGGTGTATGGTGATGGAGCAGGCCCGGGTCATTGATGCTTTTAGGAACAAAACCTCCCTCCTCAGCCTATCCTTAGGGAATCTCTGTCCTCCCTCTGTCTTTTTTTTTTTTAACCTCCCACCCCTCTAGAGTAGAAGACACCTCTATGATTCCTCAGAGTAATTTTGTATTAAGATCTGTGGGGTAGGGCTGGACAGGATGGATGGATTGGGAGAACAAACTTCAGAATGGCAAATTGTTTTTACGTATATTTGAATTCATACAAATTTTAAGATGAAAACTTTCCAGACCAGAGAAAAGAAGACCTCAGGCCCTCTTTTGAAACAAAATCAGAAATAGCCACTGAGAATGATGTTAGTACCTCAACATGTGTACATCCCCTTCATTCGCAAGAGAACAAACTTTTCAGAAATAGCATTTTTTAATGTAAACTCACCTTGCTGATACATTTCCCACATCCTGCAAAAAAAAAAGATACTCTTAATTATGAGACTTTTCCTTCTGCATCTTTTCTCACACTCTTGTTTCTTTCTGTTTTAGTGTTTTAATAATGTATATCTTTTTATTCCCGTCTAAGGAATCATTCATGTCTATGTTAATAACAGAACCTCAACTTAACAATGAAAAGCTTCATCGTTTTCATAAGAAGAAAGGAGCTCAGCAAGAGACGGTGGAGTAAAGCAAAGATATCTAGGTTTCCAGTGTCATTAATTTCCTAATCTTATTTCCAAAGAAAGTTCTGACCACACATGACAACTATTAAAACAAAGCAGAGAACCATATGAGAAACAGAGTACATGGACATTGATGAGCAGCTTTTACAAACCTTGCCCAGGCCAGGGAAGACTCTCAATGTCTTCAGCAAATCACTGTTGTATGGGACATCAGAGAGTGAAGAGGAACTAGGGCATATACATGGAGTATTACTAACCTTCCCCTTGCCTAGAGTTCTAATGATTTTAGATGATCTCTCTGTGTGGATAGTACTCCAAATTATATTGAAGAGAACTTTGTTATATGTTATCTACTAAAATGGCAAAAATTTCCCAGAGACTACCAAGGTATGCAGTAATAAGTGACTGGACAAATGCAATGGTGGAAGTCAGACAGCATGTGTCACTTAGCTTAGAGCAGTGACATATGAAGGTGACATTTGCATGTCCTGGCAGCATTGTCCAGCAAAGGCTTCCTTTCTTTGGGGATGGACCCTCCCTCCTCACCTGGAGCAGCTCCACGTCAGGCATGTGGCACGTCTCCCACAGCTCTCTGTACATGTCTTTCATCCTTTCTAAATGTTGGGTCATTCTCACTTGACTGTCTTGTAGTTGTTGGAAAAGCTCTTTTGCTTCTCTTTCCAGTTCCTGCAGATGCAGTTGCTCCTACTTATCGAAAAATAGACGCATCTTTTGATATTGAATATTGATTATCACCTTCCTTAATGACACATAGTCCTGCAGAGACATTTGGTTAAAAGGATTACATGTTCTCACTCTCAACAGAAAACTTCAAATAATTATATGCTGGGTGTAATCAAGCAATTTATAAACTTTGTGCCTCACTCTTTCAAAGAGTCTTGAATATTTGCTATATTTTTCTATTTTTTCCTATTTTTTCAATGCTCCTATTCTCTCTCCCTTTTTAAATCAAAACCTGTATAAAGACTTCTAGTTTCTCTCACTGTGATGCTTCTTCACAGTTCTTATTGAGTCAATTATTTCCTCTATTAATCTCTGTTTTAGGATTTTTCATGTCTGATTTGCCTAAATGTTAAAAAACATTTAGCCATACACCATATTATGCAGTTGTTTTTTACTTTTACTATATTTTTACTCTATATACTATTCTATTTCTTTCATCTTCCTCACACTCAATCTTAGTGAAATGTTGTCTCACCTGCAGTGTCTGATAAGGTTTATACCAACCTTCAAATTTGAACTAGAATACATATCATGCCGTTTATCCAATATACTAGAATTAATTTGGCTAGCTTGTGTGGACTTCTCTGTTTGCAATTCCTATTATATCAATTGAAATCACTACATTTTCTTGGGATGAAATCACTATCTTTTAACTGGTAGTTTGAATTTAGCCAAAAAGTGTAAGCCAACATTGTGTTTATTGGCATAAAAACAAAGGAAACATTTTCATTCTTACCACTAATGAATGAAATTTGCTAGTTTCCTGATTTAGATTGTTTTGTGTCTCTTGATTGATTTTCCATAAATAGTCCATTTCCTTTATAAGTTTCTCCTGCAAAAGAGGCAAGAAGCTTAGCAATAATGAAGACAGTATAGTAGATTTCATCCCCTTATCAATAAAAAAGGCTGTTATTGAAAGAAACATAAATTTAAGTTAGAGTGGAGTGGTCAGATTTTTCCATGTTAAACAAATTTGGTTCTAATAATTTGGATGTGAAAAGTGATAGAAACATAGAGAGTTTTAAGGGACCCTTCAGATAATATCATCAATTTTCTGAGAAACTGGCTTTTATATAACCAGACTTTGAAAAGTGTTCTTGGTGCAAACCTCCTTTAGTGAAGTCTCAACACAGCTATGATTAGAATGTCAAATTAGTCAGCAACATTGAAAGGACACATTTATGTGTTATGATTGACATGGAATAATCACCACTTCCACCATCTGCATTCTCATCACCATCATTATCACAGGCCCTCATCATTCTTATTTGGGATTCTACACAATTCAAACTGCCTTAGAGGCATCATGTACCCTGCATTCCTGAGCAGCCCATCCTATTGGGCTGTGGCTGTGAGCCATGTGCTCTGGTGACTTAGAGCAGGGCCCACAGAGCAATCTCTTATCAGCCTCACAGAAGAGCTCCTTAGTCTCCTCGTGGAGCACACAGATATTGTCTGAGCTGTTGATATTCTGAGGTCTGGTCTGTCTGGCTAGGAAAGCCAGCTTTTTGAGTGCCACATTGGTGTTGAAGTCGGGCTTCTCTGAGATTTCTCTGCACTCAGGGCAGTGCATTGGTGCTCTGCCTTCTTCCCAGCAGAGGCGGAGGCAGGGCCAGCAAAAGCTGTGTCCAGTCAATGGTGACCGGGTCTATGAAGTAGTTCATGCAAATAGAGCACATGAGCTCATTCTGGAAGGCTTGCGGGGTGTCTGAATCCATGTTTCAGAAAATTTAAAAAAAAAAGTGAGAATTTCTTTCTCTTATTTTTATTTGCCCCAATGAAAAGGAAAAAAAAGCCGGTGGACAATTTTCCTTGTCTACTTGAGCTATGTCCAATATGTCTAATAAGTTAGCTCCAGTACAAACTGAGACATAGTAAATGCAAACATGCTGGATTTATAAAGTTTTCCCTCAATAGCCATTGAAGATTGGGTCCAGGACTCCCTTAGATACTGAGCTTCTAAGATGTTCAAGTCTCTTATTAGTAAATGGTATGGGATTTGCATGTAATCTAAAACTATCCTCCTGAATACTTTATGTCTTGATTACTTTGAATGCCTAATACAATGTAAATGCTGTATAAATACTTGTAATGCCATACTGTTTAGGAACAGCAAGAAGCTTGTTAAAAATATGTACATGATTGGCAGGGCGCGGTCACTCACGCCTGTAATCCCAGCACTTTGGGAGGCCAAGGCGGACGGATCACAAGGTCAGGAGATCGAGACCATCCTGAATAACACGGTGAAACCCTGTTTCTACTAAAAATTAAAAAAAAAATTAGCCAGGCATGGTGGCACGTGCCTGTAGTCCCAGCTATCTGGGAGACTGAAGCAGGAGAATCACTTGAACCCAGGAGGCAGAGGTTGCAGTGAGCCGAGCTCACGCCACTGCACTCCAGCATGGGTAATAGAGTGAGACTCTGTCAAAAGTACATGTTCAGTACAGCTGCTTTTTTCTTCCTGTAAATATTTTTTATCTGAGATTAGTTGAATCCATGGGTATGAAATTTATGGATATGAACAACCAACTGTGATTCAAATAAGAAAATGAGATGAGAATAAAATACCTCATGGTATTTTATTAAACATTTTGTTAAACAAGTCATGCTCTCAATCATTCCCAGTTACTTAGACAAGCTTAAAGCCTAGGCAGAGGGTAAAAGCTGGGATGATTTCTGAGTCACTTACATAAGCTGATTAACGAAGAAGCACATTCTGAATCTCGTCCTGTCTCTGTCATTCTATCTCTTTTGATGATTCCATGATGATAATATATGAAAGACACTTAGTATCTATGCTATTATTCTATACTCCCTGCCTCCAAACTCACCTATAAAGTTTGCTCAGACAATTATAAATGAAGTAGGTTTTATCTAAGATTGATTAATCAGAGTGGACTGTCAACTCCTAAAATTATCAATCATTAAATTTGTCCCTTTAACTTTAATATCAAACTCTTCTGTTCAATACATTAAACGTAAATAAGATCTATTATTTTTAATTTTTTTTTCTGTTGTTGAGACGCGGTCTCGCTCTGTCACCCAAGCTGGAGTGCAGTGGCGTGATCTCAACTTACTGCAACCTCAGCCTCCCAGGTTCAAGCAATTCTCCTGCCGCAACCTCCCGAATAGTTGGTATTACAGGCACCCGCCACCACGCCAGGATAATTTTTTTTGTATTTTTAGTAGAGACGGGGTTTCACCATGTTGGCCAGGCTGGTTTCTAACTCTAGACCTCAAGCGATCTGCCTGCCTCGGTCTCTCAAAGTGCTAGGCTGCAAACATGAGCCATTGTGCCCAGCCGATTAAATCTATTTTCAACAGCTTTCAAATCTAGTCTACAAACTGCAAATTTTGAAGAGATAGCAAATAGACGTTTGCAACAAGAATTTTCAAAGTAATTCAACATTTTTAACATTTACTTTGGTGTACATTATAACCATTACTACAGGCCCACATTCTAGTGTACATTTTAGGTATTTTATGGGTTCTATCATTTCACGAAACTATGGAAATATATCTTTTCACATCTAAAAAATCTAATAATACAGAATATAGTCACATAAAAACAATCAAATAGCAAGGGAACACAAACCCTATGTTACAAATTGAACATACTTTATATTGATTTTCTGTAAAATCACTAAGACAGTTACTTGTTTGCTTAGAAAAGACCCAAGCATGCTGCCAGGTAAATTTAAAGTGTTTTGAAGAGAAAAGGTGAGCATGATGGGTTTACTGCAAATTTTATACTCACAAGGCTATTGTGAATGGTCTCAGTCTAGAAGCTCTGTAGATATCCAGATTAGAAGTAACTCCTGGTGCTCCAAAGCCCAGCAGCCACGATTCCAGTGGGTCCTCACTGAAGGAGACAGAAATCTCTGGACAAGCATCCCTTTAAAGGGTATGGGCCCACGAAAGACCACACTCACTTCCTGAGATTGATTAGATTGCATGGAAAGGGGTAAATTGGCTGATTAGGTTTATAAAGTATTGAAAACCACACCTGAGGGCTCAAAGCTCAACAGACAAGTTTGGAATGAGATGCAAGAAAGTTGACTTAACACAGGTTATTCAAAGAAATATTTTAATTAGCCTGGCGTGGTGGCTCAAGCCTGTAATCCCAGTGCTGTGGGAGGCCCAGGTGGGTGGATCACGAGGTCAGGAGTTCAAGACCAGCCTGGCCAAGATAGTGTAACTCGGTCTGTACTAAAAATACAAAAAAATTAGCCGAGCTCGGTGGCAGGCACTTGTAGTCCCAGCTACTTCGGAGGCTGAGGCATGAGAATCACTTGAACCTGGAAGGCAGAGGTTACAGTGAGCTGAGACAGCGCCACTGCACTCCAGCCTGGGAGACAGAGCGAGACTCTGTCTCAAAAAAAAAAAAAAAAGAAATAGTTTAAGTATAACAATTATTTCATTAAATATTATCACTTGCTAACTTTTTTTTATTTCTTTTGAGACGGTATCTCCCTCTGTCGCCCAGGCTGTAGTGCAATGGCTCAGTCTCAGCTCACTGCAACCTCTGCCTCTCAAGTTCAAGCGATTCTCCTGCCTCAGCCCCCCAAGTAGTTGGGATTACAGGCGCCCGCCACTAAGCCCAGCTAAGTTTTGTATTTTTAGTAGAGATGGGGTTTCACCATGTTGCTCAGGCTGGTCTCGAACTTCTGACTTCAGGTGATCTGCCCACCTTGGCCTCCCAAAGTGCTGGGATTACAAGTGTGAGCCACTGCACCCCGGGCCACATGCTAACTTTAAAATTTTGTTTCTCACTCTGTTTTAAAATTATAATTGCTTAAGTGCCTAGCCGTTATTTATCTGAATATGTTCAAAGATAACACATTAACTGGGATTACCAACACATCTGTGCTGTGTAACTCTCTTGTTTAAAAAAGTATAGCAAGGAACTCAATTGTGTTTCACATAATTGTATATATAATGGTTGATAGAATTAGTTGTATCAGCCTGTTTTTCTTATTTTTACTATTTTATGACTATTTCCTAATGATTGTTTTATATGAAAATAAAATCTGTTTTTATTCATCCACCTTTTTGAATAATTTTAAAACTGATACTTTACATATATGTACATAACTGTCTATAACAATGTTATGTATTCATATTTTTAAAATTATATAATAATTATTTACACAATAATAATTAGTATTATTACTTTTTTTTGAGATGCAGTCTCGCTCTGTCACCCAGGTTGGAGTGCAATGGCATGATCTTGGCTCACTGCAACCTCTGCCTCCCAGGTTCAAGTGATTCTCCTGCCTCAGCCTCCCGAGTAGCTGGGATTACAGGTGTCTGCCACTGTGGCCAGCTAATTTTGGTATTTTTAGTAGAGATAAGGTTTCACCAAGTTGGCCAGGCTGGTCTCGAACTCCTGACCTCAGGTGATCCGCCTATCTCGGCCTTCCAAAGTACTGGGATTGCAGGCATGAGCCATGGCACCTGGCTGCTATTTACACAATAATTATGTGCATAATTATCTTTAATAGTGCATGAAAGTTATTTTTAACACAGTTGCCATACTAACAGATTTTGTTGTCATTTACCATGATTTAATAAATCACCAATGTTTACACATAGTTGTATTCATAAATTATCTAATGTTTGGCGATTTAGGTCATTTCTATAAACTTAAAATTAACAAACCTTGCTAGAAGTTGAAAAAGTAAAGATCTATATAAAAGTCACCATTTACATATTAATAGACATTTAAAAAATTATAAAAGACAGCACATCCCAGAAAAAGATGAAGTGGCTGCCTTTTTAATCAGTCCATGGCATTGCAAATTAGTATGTTTTCTGAAGTGTCATTTGATCAGCATTATGCTTCAAAAAATATATCCAATAAAGTTAAGAAAAGATAATCATAGATACATATATGCAGACTTTTCCAGAAATGTTCTTTGAAAACTGCTTCAAACACTTCTTAAAATGTTGCATATTTTCTACCTAAGTGTAGAGAAGAAAGACTTTCTAGTATTGTCACTTATCAGTCAAAATTCAATTCTACATTTTGTAGACTGCCCTGTATTAGACAGAAATAAACAATAAGCAACTTACGAGATGCATATAAAAGAATAAAAAATAGTTGCAAATTTTAGTGCTAGAAGCTGAAAAAGTTATTATCTATTTTACTACAACTGTGTTATCATGCAGGATAGGTAAGAGAGAAAAAGCAATATTTCCTTACCTAACCAAAAAATACTCTGTCATTTTGACAATGAGAACACTTGGACACAGGAATGGGGAACATTACACACCGGGGCCTGTTGTGGGGTGGGAGGAGTGGGGAGGGATAGCATTAGGAGATATACCTAATGTAAATGACGAGTTAATGGGTGCAGCACACCAACATGGCACATGTATACATATGTAACAAGCCTGCACATTGTGCACATGTACCCTAGAACCTAAAGTGTAATAAAAATGTATATATATAAAAATACTCTGTCATTCAAGTGAAAAATCAGACATTTATTGATTACCAATTCTATGCTAAAAACTGTTCTAAGTGCTTCACATGTTCCAGCTTACTTAATCCTTACAGCGACCCCATGAGATAAATAATATTTTATACTCATTTGAAGATCAAGAAACGTAAGAATAGGAAACTTTAATAAGTTGCCCATAGGCATACTCTAATTAAGTAGGAGAACTAGGGTTTGGAACCAGGCCATCTGTCTCTGAAAACTGCTTTCCTTTCAGTTACATTAAATATGTTGCCAAAGTATGTTCCTAAGGCACCAAATTACATACAATATTTTGGGGGGATGCTTCTCGCATGCTGGCAGAATAGATCAGAAAGTTGAAAAAGCTTTCAAGTATTGTGCAGGTTTTGGTCCTTTTTTTTGAATAATAATATGCACACTGTCCTACATCTACCATACTGTCCAACTCTCTTAATGACATGACAAAAAGCCTGTGAGCATGCTCAGCCACACCCCATAACTAAGGCATTGTGGAAATCCTAGTGTGAAGTGCAGCTCTTCTTTTCAAAACACAGAATGTCTCAGAGGGTCTCATATGTGCGCTACTCTGATTACTCACAAAATGAGTGTCTACTATGGACTCTCCTTACTGGTAGAGATTGGAGCCAAAATTGTAACAAACCTGCAGGTTCTGCACGTGTATCCCGAAAATTTAAGTAAAATTTTTAAAAAGTGTAAAAAAAAAAAAAAAACAAGACTAAGTCCATAAAGAGCTCATGGTCTAGTAGTTCATACAAACGAAAGGACAGTCATCCTAAAAGTCTTCATAAAAGAAATGACACCTAAGCTGAAATCCAAAGGATGAAGGTAGTCTTTTCTTTTCTGATAGTAAAGTCTATGTGACAGCAGTTGTCATGAGAAAAGATTTTGGGACCTGGTATGGTGGCTCATGCCTGTAATCCCAGCACTTTGGGAGGCCTAGGTGGCTTGACTGGTCAGGCGGAGAAGTTCAAGACCAGCCTAGGCAACATGGTGAAACTCCATCTCCACAAAAATATAAAAATTAGACAGGCACAATGGTGCACGCCGGTAATCTCAGCTACTTGGGAGTCTTAGGCTGGACAATTGCCTGAGCCCAGGAGGCAGAGGTTGCATTGAGCCGGGATTGTGCCACTGACTCTGGCCTGGATGACAGAGCGAGACCCTGTCTCACACACAAAAAAAACTGTTAGTTCTGTTCTTTTGCTGGGTTGATGTCCTTGTATTCTATCTAGGCCAGAATGTTTCTGAAATGCAAATATGCCTACATTCCTAGCTGCTTAACCTTATTATGGGATTTTGATAAGCTACAAGTAGTTACACTCGTCTCGATGTCTTCCAAAATGTACTTCATGTATTTGGTGCTCAATGTATGAATCGTTCTTCCCACAAATGCCTTGGATTCTAGTAAGGGTGAGTTCTTTGTAGTTCTTTAACTTGCCATAATCATCCATATTTCTATTATTTTGTATAACATGATTACCTTGTCAGTGGAAATATAAATACGTAAAATTACTTTGAAACACTGTGGCATTGCCAGTAGAATTGACGATCAACAAATTTTATAACCCAGACATTCCAGCTATCAGAAGATACTGTCAGGAAAGAGAATCTATTGAACATTTGCATTAGGAGACGTGTTCACAAAATCAAAATACAAAAATCATTCCAAATGTACAACAGCAGAAAATGAATAAATATATATTTTATTATGCAACGTTTATCCAACTTTGGGTTATCCACTACAAACTCACTCTTGGTTGTTTACATAAATAGATCTGGACCCTTTAAATATTTTTTCTTTGCCACGTGTTAAGATGTCAATTTTTGTGAGTAGAAAGCACTGGAGAGAAATTCCAAAAAAGCGCTTCCAATCTGCTTTGGAAATGACACCTCCAGTGTCTGGCCCGGAGGGCATACAGGGATACACCGATGACCAGATTCTGTAATTCAGGCTGCTGCTATAGCACGCACTTCCTGAAGTTCATGGTGGCCAGGAGAACTCAGCAGCCGTGAGCTCCTCCTGATACTGTCCTTTGCCATATTTGCAGTGGAGCCCGTCTAGCATGACATTTCTTCATAAACAGCTTTACAAGTGGCCCAGAAGGCAAGTTTCTGGGGAGCTCTGAAGTGTGGATTTAAAGCAAGTTTTTCAAGCACAACAGCACAGCGACTTCTTTTTTTTTTTTTTTTAAAGAATTCTATTGATGGTATCTAAACAGCTAATGAATGTAGATAGCTAACATGAATGAGAAATATCTGTGCCAGAACATTCTGAATCTTAGTGTGGAAAAAAAAATACATGTCTTTGTATCACAATTCCCATTTTCAAATGTGAGGAAAGTGCCACAACATAAAATGTTACCAAACAGATGGGCGTTTTTCAAGATGCAAGAGCTCTAAAAGTAATTATATGTATATAATTATATACACCACATGCAGGTACACACAAACCCACCAGCAATACCACCACCATTGTCAACTTTCCACATTATTAAAAACAGCAAGGATGTTGAGTATTTTATTATGAAAGCTGAGTCCTTCTTGGTCCTATTTGCTGGCTCTATTTTTTTTCCAGATTTCTGGTACCTGGGAGTTTTCAGAGTCTGGAACAGACAGTGAGCCATTATAGAAAAGTTTAATTAAATTAATATTCATTTTTCATGCTTCTAGTTTTCCTTCACCTTACGTGGAATAGGACTATAAGGGTTTTTCATATTAATTTATGAGATGTAGTTAAAAGGAAATATTGGTAATGCATTGGTGTGTCAAACTGTAAACAGTGGTCCATTAGACGCGTTATAGGTTTGTCTTATGTAATATTACATCATATAGAAAGGGCAGCAGTCCTGAGTTTACCACTGTCCTCTCTGTATAATGTTATACATTTTTAAATTTTAGGGATTATCAAGTTTACCTCCCATTTTGCAAGAAAGCAGTTGACATTTAAAGAGGTTAAGTAAATTGTCTAGAGGTCAAGGAGCAAATTATCCACGTTTTCAAATTCTTCAATTCCTGTGTAAGCTTTCCATTTATTCTCAGCTCAGGGAGTGGACCTCATGTTTAAAAAAAGTGATAAAAGTAAGCAAACAAATGGCAACCATCAACAAAAATGACACAATTCCCTCCTTTGGAGTGTCGTGAGGGAGTTATATGTTATAAAATTCATTATTGAAATTTGAGGCATGAAAGTTCATGGCCCAAGTAAACTGGGGGCAGAGACTGGGTTAATGGAAAGGCTATGTAGCCATTAATGGCTCATCCCAAGCATAGCTGACCATGACCTCCACTGTGTGCAGTGGAATCCTGGGAAATTTAAGAGCTACTCTCTAGTACGCCGAGACTTTGTAGGCCCATTCAGAGAACTTAATAAAACAACATGGTTGCAGGTAATGGCAACAAGTTTTGTAGCTCAAATCACCCAAGACATTTAGATATGTATTCCAGGCTGTTAGTTTAATGTTTGCTGTATGTACCATGTAGTCATTTCTGTTAATTATGTTTCTTAACTAATTTTTAGAAAGAGTACTCTATTTGAGTGTTCACAACTGATAGGGAAAAAGGTGGGAATGGGAATGGGAAACTGTACAAATATTTAATGACTCTAAATATTTGGGAGAACTGAGGAAATGTCACATGGATTATGGTGCTAAAAAGGACTGTTATCTAATTGAGTTGTTTGTCCTGATCCATTTCCTGATCCTTATCTTATTGTACTATTCCATCTTCTGCCACTTAAATTCACAGAAACAAAATGCAAGCAAACGTCTTTCTTCAACCTGCCTTCCCAGACTGATTTAATAAAAATGGCTAGATTTCTAGGAAGCACAGCGACTTCTTAACATTCAGTGAGGCCAAGGGGTGAGGGGACTCTTCATTGGAACTTCAACTTCACCCTGGAAACAATGGCAATTCCTTATATGTGCTCATCACGTATTATTTAGACTTCTTAGATTCTACTAGACAATATTTCATTGCTCAAATGCTGTTATAAATAATCATTCTTTATATTAACTTTCCCTATTCACATTATTATATGTTTTCTCTGTCTTGATGGACCCTGAATCTTACTTTCATTTGAATAAATGCTCTCTATCTATCTATCTATCTACTTATCTAACTATCTAAACCCTTAAAGACCGGTGGAAAAAAAATCAAGTACCATAAAAATATACATGGTATGATTTTACTTATAAAAAGTTCAAAACTACCTAAAGCCAAAACGTAAGACATGTAAATAATATAGCCACGTGTGATAAAATTATAATGAATAACAGAGCAAATAAAGATAAACACAAAATTCAAGAAAGTGAATGAGCACAACTGTCATTAGTGCATGGAGAACCAAAAGATATTGGAAATGTTATTTTCTTAATAAGGTTAGTAGGTTCACAGATATTCATTTCATGACAATTTTTCTCTATACTCGTGTGTTACATTATAGTCTTTTATATAAATAAGATATTTTTGATAAAAAATAATGATTTCTTATGCTATAGAGTGATCACATTTACTAAAAGTGTAGTTTAATCGGTGTCCCAACTACTGTGCTGAGATAGTGATCCTCTCAGCCTTGGGAGGCCAGGCAGGGCGTGAGACCTCTGGCTTGGAGCAGTTGTGCATATTCCGCAGTGTGCTCTATGACAAACTGATGTTTTCCCATGTGTGAAGCGTCATGAACACATTAGACTTGATTCTCTGATAATGCCAGATGAGAGTTTCACAATATTTGTCTATTCCCCTTGGATTTAATACTGAGTTTGATTCTTCCACTTCAGAATAACCTTGTATAATTATAAATTTTAATGTTTTATTTTTAATCCATGACAAGAAAATAAAACATATACACAAACATATATATGAACACTCACATAACTTTATATAATATGTAGCTTCATTTCTAATATACTAATTTAAAAATTCATCAATATACCCATCATGATTCTTTCTGAGTGTTATATCACACAATTCAATATAGGTTCTCTAAAGAATCCTCATAGGCTACTTGGTTCAAAGCCTCTGAAGCTGCCTGCACTGTGAAGGCAGCAACAGAAATCTTTCTCTTCACTTCTCCCCTAGCCTTGCAAGGGTCCACCTTGCTTTTAATTTCAAACAGAGCATTAGAAATTCCTGGAAATGACTCCCCTGAATACTTGCTGTGGCTGCTCGAAGCATAGATGACATGCCTGTTGATAAAACAGTAGGCTGTTTACTAGTTGCCCAAATGATATAGAGGAGAAACATAAGAGCACTCAGCAATTCTAACATTGAATATTTCTAATTTAACAATTAGAACAAGCCACTTGTCAACTGAACCTCCACATTCAATCATCTCTAAAGACTCCTCTGGCCAGGTGCGTTGGCTCAAGCCTGTAAGCCCAGCAGTTTGGGAGGTTGAGGCGGGTGGATCATGAGGTCAAGAGTTCAGGACTAGCCTGGACAGCATGGTGAAACCCAGCCTCTACTAAAAATACAAAAAATTAGCCGGGCACGGTGGCATGTTCCTGGAATCCCAGCTACTCAGGAGGCTAAAGCAGGAGAATTGCTTGAACCTGGCAGGCGGAGGTTGCAGTGAGCCAAGATCATGCCACTGCACTTCAGCCTGGGCTCCAGAGCAAGAAGACTCTGTCTCAAAAACAAAACAAAAGAAAACAAAACAAACAAACAAAAACAACCAAACATCAAACAAACAAAAAAACTTAAAGTGGTAAGTGGTTCAGTGCTACAATAGTAACAACGGTATAGTAACCACAGCAATCATGCTCAGTATTAAAGTATTTACTTACAATTTTTCTAATTCTTTAAAATAAACTACGCACAGTTGATATTAGTATTTCACAGAGGAGGAAACTGAGGTCTGAGAAATCAAGTGACTAAATGATTTGTCTCAAGGCACATTACAAGTAAGTGTTGATTTTTTAATACATTACAATAAATTATAGCACAACTGTGATCATCAAAGTCTTGTTTGTGATTAGCCAACCTTCTATTGTAATTTTTTGTCCTTTTTAAAAAAGTCACACTACCATGTTAGAATATGTAACATAAAACATGAAGAATCATCAAAAACAATTTTGTAATGTTTCACATGACCACGGCAGAAGAATGTTTTATAGAACAGGCTGAGACAAATCTGTCTAGGACCTAGGAAAGAAGGACAAACACGGAAGTAAAGAGATAAATAAGGCCAGGAGTGGTGGCTCATGCCTGTAATCCCATAAATTTGGGAAGCTGAGGTAGGAGGATTGCTTGAGGCCTGGAGTTGTAGACCATCCTGGGCAACATAGGGACACTCTGTCTCTACAAATCAAAGTACAAATATTAGTTGGGCATTGTGGCATGTGACTGTAGTCCCAGTGATTTTGGAGGCTGAGGTGGAAAGATTGATCAAGCCCAGGAGTTTGAGGCTGCAGTGAGCTAAGATTGCACCACTGAACTCCAGCGTGGGAGACAGTGTGAGAAGCTGTCTCTTAAGAACAACAACATAAGCGAGGGCGATGGGTAAGTTAAAAATATGCTGCCATTGGTCAACCAATCAAACTGTTTAAAACATGCTCTTACTCCCAAACCTGACGCTTTGATAATCCCTGGACAGAAAGATAGAGCCATTTCTGGCTGTCCAATGACCTAACTCCGTCTGCAGTACATATAAGATCAACCTGGGGATAGTCCATGTTTGGCAGAAAAAAATTGCAATAGTCAAGATTTAGGAGAGAAAAAAACCTCTACATATAAAACATGAGAAAAAGAATAAATAAATATATGTTTATTATATAAATTATATATAGAGAGATTTACTTGGTTTTGTGTATACATAAACAAAAATATATTTAAAATAGGAAAGGGACTAGAATTATACACCTAAGACTATAACCATGATTTTATATTTTTCTGATGGAATTAGGGAGATATTTATTTTCAGTTGTTGCTTTCTTGATCTTAACATTTTCTAAAATAAACACATATTCTTTTAAAATAAGAAACAAAAAGATACTGAAAATAAAGCTATGCAAAAACTATATTATACTGTATGAGAAAATATTATATTTATCATTTACTACATATATTTTGAAATTTTCTATTGGCTTGCAAGAAATCAACTATGATATTTTTCCACCGTACAAAAGGAAGAAAAAGTGATATTATAAGTGGGAGTCATTTTTTATTTTCCTATCTATAAAAACGTCTATCTGGTAACCCTAAGTACCAATAAGTGCTCATTACAGAAACATCAGTTGATCATTCATAATTCTTAATAATATTGGAATGATAAATGAACATAGTTATAACTTCATGAAAATGTTATTTCTACACACAAAATAAAAATTTCAGAACAAAACTGAACTTAATCAGTCTTCTCTGGGAATTGGTTCCAGGACCCTGATAGATATCAGAATTGGTGCATACTTAAGTCCTGCAGAAAAGACACGTATATATGAAAAGTAGGCCCTCCTCTTCTGTGGAATTAACAAGCTGAAAGTGAGCAAACCACTAAACAAATCAAATTGACCTATCAGAATAATAATCTAGATTTTAGTATAAATTATTTAATATTTCATCTTTTCAAGTGATTTTTCCAAATAATGTAAGTACAGCATTCTCAGAGTCTGATAAGACTTTCTGGATTACCTTGCTCTGCCTCAGTGAGGAAAGGTAGCTGTGTATGTGGAATCTGAAGCCACATCTGACCTCCCTTGGGTTAACTGCCCATAATATAACTCCCACCACATGCTTAATGCCCTTTGATGTCCTGGTCTTCATCTTGTTAAGACAGTGAAGTAGGCAATAATATAAAACAGAAAATATTTCTGAAAAACATGGCTAAGAGTCCAAATGGAATGTAACAGTTTTGTTTTATTTTGTTTTGTTTTTTAGAAAAACATTCATAATTCTCTTACTTTACATTATTCATTGGTTCTTTATTAGCTACATCTGAGGTTCTCAGATTCAAGCTCATGTAATGAGTATCATTCTTTGGTAAGTTCTAACGTATCAAAGGTAAAGGAAAAATAATTGTTGAGATTTGTTCCATAGAAATAAATTTACTCACTTAAAAGCCTTTTTTCTGGGTTTATGTCCTTCCTACTTTGTAATATTTTTAACAAAATCATTTTCTGTATGCAATACTAATATTTGAAAATATAAGTTTGAAAACAAAAAAAAAATTTTGGCAAAATAAAGCTTACCATCATTAAAAATAAAAAGTTGGCCCCCCATATGTGTGGATTTCTGTCCTTCAATACAGTATTTTATTTTATTTTCTTAAGAGATAGAGTCTTGCTCTTTCACCAGGCTGGAGTGCAGTGGCGTGATCATACCTCACTAAAGCCTCAGACTCCTGGGCTCAAGCAATCCTCCTTTCTCACCTTCCTAAGTACCTGGGATTACAGTGAATACTGTATTTTCTATCCAACTTTGCTTGCTGATGTGAAATCTACAGATAGAAAGGGCTGACTATATGTATTTTTTTAAAAACTGTGGACCGGGCGCGGTGGCTCACTCCTGTAATCCCAGCATTTTGGGAGGCCGAGGCGGGCGGATCACCTGAGGTTGAGAGTTTGACCAGCCTGACCAACATGGAGAAACCCCATCGCTATTAAAAATACAAAAAATTAGCCGGGCGTGGTGGTGCATGCCTGTAATCCCAGCTACTCGGGAGGCTGAGGCAGGAGAATCGCTTGAACCCGAGAGGCTGAGGTTGCAGTGAGCCGAGATTGCGCCATTGCACTCCAGCCTGGGCAACAAGAGTGAAACTCCATCTCAAAAACTAAAAAAAAAAAAAAATTGTTCTTAAGTAGACCCGTGCAATTCAAATCAGTGTTCTTCAAGCATGAAATGCATATTTTAAATTTCTATAATATGCAAATTAAAAACAATAACATACATAGCTACCATATTTTTAAATCTTATAAAATACTATTCTGCTGAGGCTTATGAAAGCACAGAAACAGCTGCATGTGCCAATGGGAAAAATGGTAGTGATTTTTATTTACATTGGAATAATAATTAACTGATAAACCCAGATATACAAATATAGGCAAGACTTTCTTCAACTTAGGTATCCTAGTAATCTACTCACAGAAGTAACATCAACATTAAAATAAGATAATCTACTAATGTTCAGTAAGATGCCTGGCAAATTATAAATATTTGCCAAGTGATAACTAACAATATTCTTACTTTTAAAGCTAAACCTATTAGGAAACCAAAACATGGTGTTTATTTCAGTCTTTCTACAATATCTGGATGCCCACTACGCATCAAACACTCCCTGCTTTCACAGAACTTACATTCCAAATGGAGTGATGGGATTGCTATTGCAGTAAGAATGATTCCGTCTAATTGAGAGTGTATCAACAAACTCTGAGCAGACGAACAATGAGTCACCGAATTCAATATACCAATTCTGTCACAATGTAATTAATGAGAAACAATTGTTACATTAAGAAAGTATTAATTATTACATTCATTACTTTATTTCTTACTTTTTTAAAATTTAGTTTTACTAGCAGTTAGCATTTAGAACTGGCTGATCGCTTCCTATGTGCCAATTACTCTTTCGAATGTTTATACAATACGTGATTTTTAATCTTCAGAGCAATTCTGCAAGTTGGGCAGCGTAGTAGCCCCATTTCACAGATAAGATAACAAAGGGTCAGGAGTTAAATAACTTGCCTATATTCACACTGAAATGGGAGGTCCATATTGTTCTTTCAACTGCACCCTGTTGACAAAATGAAAACAGGAATAACCTATAATAGGAAAACCTCTATAATCCGGATTTCAGCTGTATTCAATATTTATGAATTTAACATCAAGAACTCAGATTTTGTAATAGTGTATGATAAATGAAACCCAGAATGTCTGTTATCCCATAAACAGTTAAGACAATCAAATGAAACATAATTTCAATAAAATGCTATGGGTTTCTGAATCAAATTCACAAGGCATTCTTACAAATACAAAAATTGATGTGGCTACACATAGGTAAATGCACACACACACACACACACAAACACACACTTCTCTTTCTCTGTATCCTGTGTTAACACCCTGTATTCTTTGATACAGGGGAAAGAAGTCACACAAGAAAAGCAGGATGAAGACATGTCTCTTCCTTAGATTTCAAAGTTTTGGTTGAGAAATTCAACATTCAGCTTAATTGACTTAGTGAGAAATTACTATTATTATGTGCAACGCACTGCTCACATGTTTCAGGAATTGTAAACATCATATAGAGACACAGACTAAATCTTTACTATCATTTGGAGAAAATGAACCAAATATAGAAATACTCAAGGAAGAAAAAGCTGTGTGTCCTTAACAAACCATAATTCAAACGATGAGGCATTTTGTCAGGGAAAGAAAACATCATTTTTCTTTTAAAGATAGAAAATCAGCTTCATGGAATACGCCATGTTTGAAATCTGCTTAAATTTTCATATTCACTGTTGACTTTTTACCCACATAAAAAAATTGGAAAGAATTGTAAACAATAAGGAAACAATTCTCCCAATATTTCCCTGAAGATAACACAATTATTATGCTAATTAATTAACTCCCTTTAAGTTTTCCTATATTTGTTAAATAAAATTAATCAAGTTATATTTGCAATTTTACATCCTTTCTGCTTGCTTCTTATTTTGTTATAAATATCTTCTTATATTGTATTTCTAATAATCAATTTTTTTTTTTGAGATGGAATCTCGCTATGTTGCTCAGGCTAGAGTGCAGTGGCAGGATCTTAGCTCCTGTCAACCTCTGCCTCCAGGTCTCAAGCCATTCTCCTACCTCAGACTCCCGAGTAGCTGGGATTACAGGTGTCTGCCACTGCGCCTGGCTAGTTTTTTATTTTTGTTTATTTATTTATTTATTTTTTGTATTTTTAGTAGAGACGGGGTTTCGCCATGTTTGCCAGGCCAGTTTCAAACTCCTGACCACAGGTGATCTGCCCACCTCGCCCTCCCAAAGTGCTGGGATTATAGGCGTGAGTCACTGCGCAAGGCGTCTAATGATCAATTCTAATTATTATAAAATGTTCAAATTGGTGAATATCAACTTATTTAGTAATTTCTCTTAGGAATAGGTTATTTTGAAATACTTGCCATTATCATTTTAGAACTCAAGTCTTTTTCAAAGCAGTCTTTCTTTTCCAAAATTGAGACTTTTTCTTAAGAAATAATTCAAGAAATGAAAATACTTTGATAAAGTATAGAACTTTGTGACAGCTGTTTGACACTTTAGCAATACATAACTATCACTTTCAAAAAAGGTTAATATAATTCACAATATTATCAGAAAAGCATGGGGAGCATATGCTTCAGTGTACCAACTAGAGCAATGGGCACTACCAAGGTATAAATTGTTATGCTACTGTGAGCAGCAGAACAATAGTGAAAGGGTTCCATCTAATCATTTCAACATGGAAGCAAACTTTTTATTAGGATTTCTTCCTAATATCAACATATTCAGCTAAAATATTTTTCATTTCCTGGGGAATGATATAAAATATTAATAGCTATGAGAAAACATACTATCACTATGGAATGCAATAATTATTGCATGAGATAAACACAGGGTTTCACAGAAAGATAAAGCCTTTGAGTGTTCACAAAGAAATTCTCAGATTATTTGAATGATATAAAAAAATTTAATAAACTTAGAGTTGACCCTTGAACAAAATGGTGATTGGGGTGCCGAGATCCCACGAAGTCAGAAATCAACATGTAATGTTTGACTTCCTCAAAACTTAGCTATCAATAGCCTACTGTTGACTAGAAGCCTTACTGATAATGTTAGCCGTTGATTAATGCATATTTTATATGTTATACTGTATTTTTACAATAAAGATAGCTAAAGGAAAGAAAATGTTATCAAGAAAATCAAAAGAAAATAAATTTACTATTCATTAATGTAATAGTAAATATAATTAGTGGAACTGGATCATTATAAGGTTTTCACCTTCATCATCTTCATGATGAGTAAGCTGAGAAGGAGGAGAAAGAGGAGGGGTTGTTGTCTCAGGGGTGGCAGAAGCAGAAGAAACTCCAATTATAAGTGACTCACATAGTTCTAACCAGGGTTATTCAAGGATCAACAGTATATGTAAGTCAAAAGTTTTAAAATTATATTATCTTTCATTTTCTAAATAAAATTAAACTACACTACAAAAAAAATTAATGAGAAATTCCTGAGAATTTCAGGCAGATAAACTGGGGAGGGGGTGTTGGAAACTATATACAAGATCCATCATACTACTGGAATTCTATATAGTTCACATATGTGATTTACACATATATCATGAGAGAGGCAGTGCTTAGAGATGTAGCAGAAAAAGTAGCATAGCGTAGTTGAAGATGGGGCCTAAATTCATGGCTGAACAATCTGTATTGATTATTTATTGATTCAAACATAAAATGAATACTGCTAAGAGAAGTGACGAAATGAAAGTACATATATATTCTGAAAGGAGTACAGATTTCCTGACGGAAAAGTAAAAACAAACAATATATATTTTTTTTGAGACGGAGTCTCACTCTGTCACCGAGGCTGGAGTGCGGTGGCGCGATATGGGCTCACTGCAAGCTCCGCCTCCTGGGTTCACGCCATTCTCCTGCCTCAGCCTCCCGAGTAGCTGGGAGTACAGGCGCCCACCACCGCGCCCGGCTAATTTTTTTGTATTTTTTTTTAGTAGAGACGGGGTTTCACCACCTTAGCCAGAATGGTCTCGATCTCCTGACCTCGTGATCCGCCTGCCTGGGCCTCCCAAAGTGCTGGGATTACAGGTGTGAGCCACCGCTCCCAGCCAAAAACGAACGATATTAAACACACTTCTAAGCACTAAGAAAGAAATCAAATGGCTGTTTGTGAAAGACAGAGAGAGATATCATCAGCTTAATTATTCATATTATAAGTCATCCTGTTTCTTTAAAGGTGATATCTTTAAGGATATTACTTACAATACTTTTTTCTGCAAATTATCAAGTGCCTACTGTGTCTTAATAAGCATTCTAAGCCAATGCAGAAATGAACAAAAGAGATAGATTTTCTGGCACCTAAAGAGCTAATGAGGTTTTGCAGAAATCTGCCTTAAGTTATCACTTATAATTTGGACATATGGACTTTTATCCAGTTATCTAGAGTAGTGCTTGAGTAAGTGAAACTCTTCCCATTCTTGCCAAAGTTATATCACTAGTATTTAAGAACAAGAAATATTTTAATAATAATGACCTTGATAGCTAAAGGACAGTCAGGGCATATAATATCTCACTTTTACATTGGAAATTGGATTAAAACAGGCTGGTCTTATATTTGACTCTCAATTTTTGAGTTTCCAAATTTTCAATGTCTGTTTTTAGGGTTTTGTTTTTCCTGTAGAGAATATTAATCTTCCTTGTCCTTTATTAAATGTTATAATCAAAATTATCCTGTTCTTGTAACTTCAAATTCCTTGGTAAAGTAGATACTTGGTAGAACAATTTTTCCCTCAAGAATTTTAACTTTTATTATTTACATGTGTCCATACTTTTTTTAAAAAAATTTGCAGTTGATATTACTCTGCATCCTGAAAGAGCCAATAGTCATATCTTCCTGTATGGAGACTTAAGAAGCATGAATGTTGGATGTGACCCTCAAGATGGTCCCCGCATCATGGCAACATCTGAATGTTTTCCTGAGTAGAGCGCTCAGACTTTCACATCTGGCAAATATTATTGGGAGGTTCATGTGGGGGACTCTTGGAATTGGGCTTTTGGTGTCTGTAACAATTATTGGAAAGAGAAGAGACAGAATGACAAGATAGATGGAGAGGAGGGACTCTTTCTTCTTGGATGTGTTAAGGAGGACGTTCACTGCAGGCTCTTTACCACACCCCACATGTGGTGCTATATGTTCCAAGGCCTAGCAGCCGAGGAGGATTATTCCTGGATTGTGAAGGTAGAACCATGAGCATTGTTGATGCTGATCAAATTTCCCTTATATACACCATCCATAATTGCTCCTTCTCACCTCTTCTCAGGCCTATCTTTCGCTGTAGTCACCTCTGACCAGAGACAAATTGGTAATGTGTCCACATGCTGTGTAAACCCCTTTATCCCAGGAAGTCCTCTTTTTTGTGCCTCATCAAAGAGGACAAATAAGTTATATTTAATGTGTTTAGTTGCCTTCTAATGTCATCACAACTCATTAATACGGTTTCTATTAAATATGGTGAAAAAACTAAAACCATGTGTATTGGTTCTTTGTTTAATCATTTTTGGAAAATCATTACCCATGATGGATGGCATAGAATATATCCTCTGGTTTTTCATTATTTCTGAATGTCACAAAGTGAAATCAGAGATGACAGAGGTGTCTAAATGAAGTTAAAATCAATGGAAGAAAATAGAGATCTTGTGCTTCATGAAAAAACTTGGAGTAAAAAGAGTCAGTGGTAACTTGGAAATATTTTCTTTCTCTTCATCTAACAATACTATACTTATCCATGTGTTTTATTTCTGAATCCATACCTTGAGGTAATCTTATTTGACCTCCTATGCTGTGCTTATCTTTGTAAATCTCATCTTATACACAAATGCTCATGCATTATTAAGAGTGCTGTTCTAAAGTGAAATTTACAAGGTGATCAGGACAATGCTGGATCAATTAAATATTCAAATGGAAATGACTGAATACTGACCCCTATCTCAAACCATACAGAGTTCATTTCCACATGGATTCATGTTGTGAAGGTGAAGGGAACATAATAAAATATTCTCATAGAGAAAGATTTCTTAACCTGGACAAAAAAGTAACAATTAAGAAGGAAAATTTAGTTAGTTTATATCAAAAATAATGACTTCTGTGTTTCAAAATATACCATCCAAGAATTAAAATGGAAACCAAGAGTGGAGAAAAATATTTATCCCAACTTATATGAAACAAAATGCAATACATGTGATTAATGAATGTCATAAATAAAAGAAAATGAACCCGATATAAAATTGGGTAAAATATTTGAACAGGCACTTCATAAAATTGGAGGCATAAATAACTGGCCAAATATGAAAAAAGGGTTACTTTTATTAGTCCTCAGAATTATAAAAATTAATCCACAAGTTGAACTACAGGCCTTCATAAAAATTAGCAAAATTTAAATACACATAATAAACAACCCCGTCAACATGTGGGCAAAGGATATGAACAGACGCTTCTCAAAAGAAGACTTTCATGCAGCCAAGAGACACATGAAAAAATGCTGATCATCACTGGCCATCAGAGAAACGCAAATCAAAAGCACAAGGAGATACCATCTCACACCAGTTAGAATGGCGATCATTAAAAAGTCAGGAAACAACAGATGCTGGAGAGAATGTGGAGAAATAGGAACACTTTTACACTGTTGGTGAGACTGTAAACTAGTTCAACCATTGTGGAAGTCAGTGTGGCAATTCCTCAGGGATCTAGAACTAGAAATATCACTTGACCCAGCCATCCCATTACTGAGTATATACCCAAAGGATTATAAATCATGCTGTTATAAAGACACACGCACACGTATGTTTATTGCAGCACTATTCACAATAGCAAAGACTTGGAACCCACCCAAATGTCCAACAATGATAGACTGGATTAAGAGAATGTGGCACATATACACCATGGAATACTATGCAGCCATAAAAAATGATGAGTTCATGTCCTTTGTAGGGACATGGATGAAGCTGGAAACCATCATTGTCAACAAACTATCACAAGGAAAAAAAACCAAACACTGCATGTTCTCACTCATAGGTGGAAATTGAAAAATGAGAACACAAGGACACAGGAAGGGGAACATCACACACCGGGGCCTGTTGTGGGGTGGGGAAGTGGGGAGGGATACCATTAGGAGATATACCTAATGTTAAATGACTAGTTAATGGGTGCAGCACACCAACATGGCATGTAACAAACCTGCACGTTGTCATGTACCCTAATACTTAAAGTATAAAAAAAAAAAAGAATCAATGTAAGTTATTCATGGCTGGAGGGGTGTAAGCTGAAATACTTTTTGGCAAACTGACTATGAGCATTCTTTATTGGCTAGACACTCTAATTCTAAAATATATTCCACTGATTGCCTATGTACGTTTTGAGATAAACATAATGTTGATCTTTGCATCAATTTTCATAGTAGCTCCAAATTGGAGACAAAATAAATATTCATCAACAGTAGAATTGCTAAATAAATTGTGATCTCATCATACAAAATAATTCTATAAAACAAAGAGAATAACACCAAAATGCAACAAATTAATGAATCCCAAGTTTAAGAAAGAAGTTTAAGAAAAAGAATTGAAACACACAAATGTTATATTACAGTGTTTTATTTATATAAATGGCAAACTCCATTAATTAGTATTAGAAGTAAGAATGTTGAATAATATTTTAGGAAGGTAATGGTTAGGAAACGTAAAAATAACCAGGATAAGATCCAGGCAGCATTGCAATGAAGGAGAGAAACTATGAGTTTCTTTCATGAAGAAGAGAATTATATATGTATTTTTTAATATTTTAACGTGTAAGAAAAGAAGTTTGAAATAGATAAATTCAATTTTATGCCTAATTTTTCTAATGTGTATATATATAATTTCTTTTATGATAAGTTAATATCAATCAACATTAAGACATAAACCATGCTTTTTTGTTATTATACTTTAAGTTCTGGGGTACATGTGCAGAATGTGCAGGTTTTTTACATAGGTATGCCTGTGCCATGGTAGTTTGCTGCACCTGTCAACCTGTCATCTAAATTAGGTATTTATCCTAATGCTATCCCTCCCCTGGCCCCCCACCCCCTGACAGGCCCCGTTGTGTGATACTCCCCTTCCTGTATCCATGTGTTCTCATTTTTCAACTCCCACTTGTGAGTGAGAACATGCAGTGTTTGATTTTCTGTTCTTGTGTTAGTTTGCTGAGAATGAGGGCTTCCAGCTTTATCCACGTACGTGCAAAAAAACATGAACTCATCCTTTTTTATGACTGCATGGTATTCCATGGTGTATATGTGCCACATACATTTTTTTTACAGTCTGTGAAGAGATTCACAGAATATTACATTTAAATACCTGTATTTACCTCCTCATCTCTCCTGTGTAACACAATCTTAAATTACAAAGGAAAAGATAAGGAATGTCATTGCCCTTGGGACATTGGTAAAACTAATTGAACTTTGGAAACGGGAAAAGATAAAAGAGGAAAAGAAATATGTGGAGGATTTAGACCTACATCTGAAGGTGGGACAGGATCATTAAGAAGGTTCTAGCCAGCCGTGGTGGCTGACGCCTATAATCCCAGCACTTTGGGAGGCTGAGGCGGGCGAATCACCAGGTCTGGAGATTGAGACCATCTTGGCTTTAGTCTCTGCTAAAAATATTTTTTTAAAAAATTAACTGGTCATGGTGGCTGGTGCCTGTAGTTCCAGCTAACTTGGGAGGCTGAGGCAGGAGAATGGTGTGAATCCAGGAGGTGGAGTTTGCAGTAAGCCAAGATCATGCCACTGCACTCCAGCCTGGGCAACAGAGTGAGACTCCGTCAAAAAAAACCAAAAAAACAAAAAGGATTCCAACCATGCAGACCCAGAAACAGTGTCAACCTATGACTGAGCTTCATCAGAATGACAGAGAATGCTTCTCCATCCTCATCCCCACCCCCATCTAGGCTCACAATTGTTGAGTAACAGGTCAAAGCAGTGTCTTCTGGGGGACTGAACAGAATTTGAAAGGAAACTTAAATGTGAGGATACAGCAGATATTGAGAAAAGCTGCTGAACCAGTCCAACCTGAAACACAAAGTAATGCTAGATAAGCGTGAAACTTATGGTGCCCTGGAAATAACTCTAAGAGGAAAAAGTCCCAAAACCAAATCAACTCCTGACTAGATTGATTCAACCTCCTCCCCCAAAACACACACATACAGCCTAGTAAAAGGGAATACATGTGGGTTCTACATGTGTTCTAATGCTTTCTACATTAGTCTACTCTACATAGTTCACTTTTTGGGTAAAACTTACCAGACATGTATAGAAACAGAAAAGATACATAAAGGAAACACTGTTAAGAGACTAAGCAATAAATAAAGCCAGATTCAATGTGGCAGAGGTGTTGGAATTATCTTTCAAGTAGATCTTATGCGTACTGTTCTAGAAGCCCTTAGTAGGATATAAAGTCCCTTTTTTATTATACTTATATGACAAGAGTCATTTTATCCTCTTATATAAAAGATATTTCCAATTCACATTCATCTCCATATTGGCAGTTACATTTTTTGACACTTTACAAATATTAGTCCACCGTCTTATACTTACATTTATGATTTATGATTGTGGAGCAGTCTGTTGTCATTCTATTAAGTGTTCCCTCACAATGAAACAGTTTATTTTGGCTGCTTTTAAGAGATTCTTCATCTTTGGTGGTGGTTTCAAACTTAAAATATCATAATGAATCAGCCACCAAAGACAGAGAAATACTAAAAATCAGCCAAAATATGTTGTTTTGCACATTCAAAACAAAGTAAATTTATGTTTTACAAATCCAAAATGAGGATTGTTTGGCTTCTTTAATTCAATAATGTATTTGTTTACTCTGAAAAAACTATCAAACATTATATCCTTGAATATGTACTCTCCTCATCTTCTCTACTTAGCTCCCCTTTGTGCTACAGTCAATCACACATTATGCTGTTTATAAAGGACATATGTGATACTCTCATCCTCCATATGTCACTACTACTCTCCTAGTTTACCTCTATTTGTCCACCTGTGAAGCCCTCATGACATTTTTTTACATCTATTATCCAAGTCACATTTTCTGCAGCTTCATTTAAGTTGCTAAGCAAAGTTTTCACTAAACAGCAAATTTTACTTATTTCACTTTTTATTAATATACATTACAATTTTTATTCTTCAATGACTGCCGAATGTGAAAAAATTCATGTATATATTATATATATTTACATATGTATGTGTTATATAGACATACACAAAATTGCTATTGGTAACGGTGGTTTTCATAGGAGTCTATAGCTACTGGAGATTTCATTTTTCCTTAAAGATATTATATTTCCTTAAAAATATTTTCTTAAAGATATTCTATTTCTTAATTTATAATAAGGATAATTCTTATGCTTTTATTAAAAACATAAATTAATAGGCCGGGTGCAGTGGCTCACATCGGTAATTTCAGCTCTTTGAGATAATGAGGCAAAACGATCACTTGAGCCCAGCAGTTTAAGGCTGCAGTGAGCTGTGATTCCACCACCACACTCCAGCCTGGGCTACAGAGCCAGAAAATATATATATAATATATGAATTGACAGTAATACATTAATACACTAAAACCAGAGATCAAGTCTTAAAAGCAACAGCAAAGTGCATTTCCAGTCCAGTTCAGTGACTATTAGAATTAAAGCCAACTTCAGGCAAAACATTTCCAAAAACACAAGAAAAAAAAAGAAAAAGGAGAAAAAATATTCCAGACTTTTGAAGACATTTATTAAAATCATAAATTGATGGTATCCTCTTTCCCATCTTTTGATGAGTAACATATTAAAGTACCCCAAAAATTATCCACAAATTTGGTATTTGAGGGTTCATTTGCTGTAAACTCAGTGGTTCTTCATGAGAGGAAGTTTAAAGTGTGTTTATGGAGATTAGCCAAGGTGTTGAATCAATCATTTCCTCTCTTCTGGTGAAACCTAATCAAGAACCCTAACGGCTATCCCAAACTCCAAGAAATGCATAGCCTTTTCAAAATCAGTGTGATTTTTCAGAGATTCAATATAAAGAGGTACAAGGAGCCAAGCTCATTCTTCTCTGGGACACACAGAGTGGCTTTGCAACTGGCTGTGAAGATGTCTGAAAGCTACTGCCACTATATGGCGAGGCCCTGATCCCTGATCAGACTTTATATTATTACTTCTACAGCAAGTATCAGTGAGACCATAAGTATATTTCTAGGGTGAGAGCACAGCTAACAGAGGAGGAGTACCTGCTAGTTTTCCAGTCCAAAACAGACTGCCCTACGTTGAATTTTTCAACAAACTGAGCTTGTTTCTATGAAATGATGTCATTTGCTTAATTAGTAAAAATGTTTTTACTCTTATTTTGTTATCCTGTCTTCCTACATACTTGTGAACTACAGTGAAGATTAATTTTACTTGTATCATTTATGTATTCATTAGTTGTTCCTATGTATTCTAAGAACTCAGAAAATAGTTTTCAGATATCTTGCAATTTTATACTTGTTGTATATCCTAAATTTTATGGAGAATATTTTATTCCATATGTTGTGTATAAATGTATTACCTTCAATTCTGAAGGTGGCACATAAATATATGCACAAGACAAAATATTCTATAATATACAACTTAGGTAATATGTTGAATAATTTGAGGGTAATATTGTGTTTTAGAGTATACTAAATGCCTCTTTAGCATTTTTGGGTGAAATCTGATCAAATTTTGGGTGAAATCTGATCTGATGAAATTTCACCAAATGTTCAGTAAATAAATATTGCTTATTTATTTAGAAATTATTTTGCAGTGGTGGCTTGTGATTGAGGATTTTCGAAATACTTTAAAGGAGAAAATTATGACATCAAAATGAAATAATGAGAGTAAAATCTCAGTGAAATACAGTTTCCTAAACCAATCACTTTTTTCTTTTGTACTAAATCGATCTTTCCTAAACCAATCACAATGAGCATTAAGAATGGTTTTCAGAATATTCAGGACCCATCATCTATGGTGTAAATTGGTCCCAATTTCATACTCTTAAACCTCAAGCTTTTTGGAGTAAAGTCAAAACTCAACAAAATGGAGGTTTCTTTTCTCCTTTTCTTTCTTTTCTTTTCTCCTTCCTTCCTTCCTTCTTTTTCTTTCTTTTTGTGACAGGTATTGTTTTATTGCCCAGGCTGAAGAGCAGTGGCTCAATCTCAGTTGACTGCAACCTCAGGGTTCAAGCGATTCTTCTGCCCAGTCCCCTGAGTGACTGGGATTACAGGCGTGTGCCACTACTCATGGCTGGTTTTTGTATTTTTAGTAGAGATGGGGTTTCCCCATATTGGCCGGGCTGGTCTCCAACCTGATCTACCAGCCTTGGCATCCCAAAGTGCTGGGATTATAGGTGTGAGCCACCATTTCTGGCCTCTCTGAGGTTCATTTTTCTATACAAAAGAAAAGGGTAGGATGTAGTGCCCTGTGAGTTATGCATGCATCTGACAATTTTACCTACAGATCTGAGAGCTCTCTTTGTGCCTCAGGTTCTATTTTTGTCTTATGCAAAATAAAGCCTATTCTACTCTAGACAGAAGTGTATCATTGAGTCACAACCTGAGTCAAATTTTGCTTTGGTCTTTGTTTCTCAGGGCATAAGATGAAGAAGTTTGAATCATACCTTTCCTAATTTCCTTCCTTCAGGAAATTGGTCTCAGACATCATACAAGCCTTCCAGAAAGAACCCATCTGCCTCTTCTGTCTGAACTAATGTGTAGACCCCATTGCCACAGGCTGCAGCCCCAGCTTCTGTAGGCCCTGTCTCTGCCTTTCCTAGGAAGAAACCAAAATTCCTACCTGCTGCCCACATGCTGGGAACTGTCACAGCAGGAGGACTTCAAAACCAATATTCTTCTGAAGAATCTAGTGTCCGTTGCCAGAAAAGCCAGTCTCTGGCAATTCCTGAGCCCTAATGAACAAATGCGTGGGATCCACAGGGAGACAAAGAAGATATTTGGAGAGGTGGAAAAAGAGCCTGATTCATTTGCTGTGCTGGAACTCTCAGGAGCATGGGGTTCACACACACTGTGAGGGGCAGCTAAGGAACACTGGGTAAGTGATGGCTCTGAGAGCACTTTGAAAGCTGGAGGATGGCACAGGTAAAGAGATTAGGGGAAGATGAAGAGCATGATGATTAATCTGCTCTGTACTGGATGTCGTGTAGTGCCTAGGTATCAATGATAAAATAATAAATATAATCTGAGTGTGCTTTCCTTCCTGGAGCTTACATTTCACTGAGGGAGTGATGAAGTTAATAATCATTGTAATAATTTGACTACTTGATGCAGTGTTCAAGGCACTGTAAAGAGCTCAATATCAGAAGAGTTTCTGGCTATCCAAACTACAAGTTAAAAAGTCTTTTCTATAAGAAACCTATTTACCAACACTGGAAATAATAGAATAAAACACGTTAGAATTAGCAGGGCACGGTGTCAGTAGATTCCAATTCTGATGCAAGGTGCCACATTATCTGTAAATTAGCCCTGCCTATGATTTTCCTATTAAACTTGCTGCGTTACACGTTGTGGTTCTACAGTCCGAGATCTTCCCAAATCTCTTTCATATCTCATCCCTTGATTTCTTTATCACTGGGGGTCTGAAACCTAAAATGATTTGCTTCTCTGATGTTCACATTCATAGTTCTTTTACAGGAGAAGATTATGAAGCAAATGAGATGTTTGTGGGCAAAAATTCAAGAAAACCAAAGAAATTTAAATGAGGAAAGCAGGAAAACCAACCAGTGGATTGCAAGTATTAGGCCTTTTCCCTCAGAGTTAGCCTCAGACAGACATGCTAGAAATGTATCCACTTATCACTTGAATGGAAATCATCTTGGTAGGATTTGAGGAAGATTTTTCTCATGGCTTCCAATCCTGAGGGTACAATGCAGCATTGATTACTGCTCAGAGAGAGTGGTCAAGCTATGGAGTAGGAAGACCTGGTACTAAAAACTAATTTAAAAACACAGAGATCATAACACTGCAAAAAATTATTTGTGAATCAACCATAAATTCCAATGGCTCTCATGTAGGCTTTCAGATATCAATGGATATATATTGAAGAAACGATCAATAATAACCTTTCTTCAGGTGTTTTAGGAAGTCATATAATGAATGAAAGTGGTTTGAGGAACGAATGAATTTGGCTGTCAGTATTATTAAGAAACAATACAAATAAATGAAAGGAAGACAGGAATGATTTATTCCATGGTTCTGTCAAGTGGGAAGACACGAGTTTATGTACTTAGCTTATTGGTAGAATACATGAGTCAGGCTAGGCTCAGTGGTTCATGTCTGTAATCCCAATAATTTGGGAAGACCACTTGAGACCAGGAGTTTCCAACCAGCCTGGCCATCAACATAGTAAGACCGTGATCTTTATTATAAAGAAAGGATGAAAGAGATAAAGAAAAGAAAACGAGTCAAAGTGAATAGAAGAGGTATAAGTGGAGGAGGATGAATTCAGAGTAAACATGTCATCTAGGAAATCCAGGTCCCCGGAGTGCCATGTGTAGCTACGGGCAGAGATGACTAGAGCTGAGTAGAGGAAGCTGCATTCAGTTCCCCATGAGAAGTAAAACAACATTTAGAGAAACTTACAGATGATGACAGAAAGATTTTACAGCAACTTAAGAAAAGCAAAAAGACAAAATGGTTCAGAAAAAAAAAATAATCTAAGAAGAATCTATAAGGAGCTGATAAAAATGTGCCATAAACTAGATGTGGAGCTGCTCCAGGAAAGAACCAATAACATGCCTAAAAAATTTTTGTAGTATTTGAAGTTCATACCTTAGAACAAGCTTGCCCAACCCACGGTCCGTGGGCCACATACGGCCAAGGACGGCTTTGAATGTGGCCCAACACAAATTCCTAACCTTTCTTGAAACATGATGAGATTTTTGTTTGTCATTTTATCAAAGCTCATCAGCTATAGTTAATCTTAGTGTATTTCATGTGTGGCCCAAGACAACGCTTTTTCTAATGAGGCCCAGGGAAGCCAAAAGATTGCACACCACTGGCTTAGGTGATATTATTTATTCAACACCATAGATATGTGTGTGTGTGGGGGTATATATATATGCATATGTGTGTATACATATATATGTACCACATATATATATATAATATATATATCATATATGTGTCTCCTCCTTCTAAGAGGGAGGAACTTTTCCAAATAGTAATAACATAGGTGAAATGTAATTCTTATCCTAACCATGATCAAGCAAGCTTTTTTGGAATCTTTGAGTGGATGTAATTTTATATTCCCCTTTATCAAACACTGACCACAGGGAATATTCCCCTCTAATAAGCTTCTTTTGTAGCTTTTTTCTGAAAAACTGGACAAATGTAATGTGGGAGTCAGACAGCATGTGTCACTAAGCTGAGAGCAGTGACATATGCAGGTGACATTTGCATGTCCTGGCAGCATTGTCCAGCAAAGTCTTCCTTTCT
Organism: Homo sapiens; assembly: GCF_000001405.40. Lineage (NCBI taxonomy): Eukaryota > Metazoa > Chordata > Mammalia > Primates > Hominidae > Homo > Homo sapiens. Next base: position 353,162 of record NW_025791760.1, read on the forward strand.
TTGGGGATGGACCCTCCCTCCTCACCTGGAGCAGCTCCACGTCAGGCATGTGGCACGTCTCCCACAGCTCTCTGTACATGTCTTTCATCCTTTCTAAATGTTGGGTCATTCTCACTTGACTGTCTTGTAGTTGTTGGAAAAGCCCTTTTGCTTCTCTGTCCAGTGCCTGCAGATGAAGTTGCTTCTCCTCATCGAGAAATAGACGCATCTTTTGATATTGAATATTGATTATCACCTTACTTAATGACACATAGTTCTGCGGAGACATTTGGTTAAAAGGATTACATACTCTCACTCTCAACAGAAAACTTCAAATAATTATATGCTGGGTGTAATCAAGCAATCTATAAACTTTCTGCCTCACTCTTGCAAGGAGTCTTGAATATTTGTTATTTCTTTCTGTCCATCTTTTTCAATGTTCCTATTCTCTCTCCCTCTTTAAATCAAAACCTATATAAAGACTTCTAGTTTCTCTTCCTGAGATGCTTATTCACAGTTCTTACTGAGTCAATTATCTACTCTATTAATCTCCCTTTTAGGATTTTTCCATGTCTGATTCACCTAAATGTTAAAACACATTTAGCCATACACTATATTATGCAGATTGATTTTTCCTTTTACTATATTTTTACTCTATATACTATTTTATATACTATTCTATTTCTTTCCTCTTCCTCACACCCAATCTTGGTGAAATGTCTCATCTCCAGTGTCTGAAAAGGTTTATACCAACCTTCAAATTTGAACTAGAATACATATCACGCCATTTATCCAATAAACTAGAATTAATTTGGTTAGCTTGTGTGGGCTTCTCTATTTGCAATTCCTATTATATCAATTATATCAAACCCCCTCTCTACTAAAAATGCAAGAAAAAAACTAGCCAGCGACAGAGCCAGACTCCTTTCAAAAAAAATAAATAAATAAAGATAAAACTTCTGTTCTGAAGAAACTTAATCATCTATGTTAACACCCACCTACGCCCTGTGAAATGCAATCAATTGGAAGAAAGGGGTGTGGTCTTCAGAGATTTATAAACCGACACTTCAGGAGCCAAGCTCATTCTTCTCCAGAGCCCACAGAGTAGCTTTGCAACTGGCTTTGGGGACTTCCGAAAGCTACCAGCACTGCACTGTGAGACTCTCATCCCTGAGCTGAATCCATCTGATTCGACAGCAAGCTTTGGTGAGAACATAGATATATTTCTGAGGTAAGTACACAATTTCCAGAGAAGGATCTACTATTAGGTTACAAACCAAAACAAAATTTGGGGACTTTAATTTATCTGCAAACTTAGATTATTTTTAGATGGAATGATCTCATTTTCTGAGTTTTAAAAACGGCTCCATTTCTTTTTTAAAATTATTTTAAACATAATCCATAGGTTTATGGATTAAACATGGGCCACCATGTTCAGCTATTTATTTATTTGTTTATTTATTTATTTTGAGATGGAATCACGCTCTATTGCCAGGCTGGAGTGCGGCGGCGCTCTTGGCTCACTGCAACCTCCGCCTTCCAGGTTCAAACGATTCTTCAGCCTCCGCCTCCAGAGTAGCTGGAAATATAGCCGCCTGCCACCACGCCCATCTAAATTTTGTATTTTTTTTAGTAGAGACGGGGTTTCATTATGTTGGCCAGGATGGTCTCCATCTCTTGATCTTGTGATCCGTTCACCTCGGCCTCTGAAAGTGTTGGGATTACAGGCCTGAGCCACCGCGCCCGGCCTTTTTTTTTTTTTTTTTTTTTAAATTTATATAAGTATTTTTAGAGACAGGATGATCTAGACATTTTACCGTGTCACCAGTCTAGAGTTCCTGAGCTCAAAATACCTGCCTGACTTGGCCTCCCAAAATGCTGGGATTACAGGCTTGAGTCACCTTCCCTGGCTTGGTTTTAATTTTTATTTGTATTTTAGCAAAACATACATTTAAAACGCTGACTTAACTGTCTAGTGCCTCGTTTTTGTTTTTGTTTTTGTTTTGGGGGGGAGACAGAGTCTTGCTCTGTTACCCAGACTGGAGTGCTGTGGCACTATCTCGGCTCACTGCAAGCTCCGCCTCCCGGGTTCACGCCATTCTCCAGGCCCCGCCTCCAGAGTAGCTGGGACTACAGGCGTCCTCCACCACTCCCGGCTAATTTTTTGTATTTTTTAGTAGAGTTAGGGATTCACCATGTTAGCCAGGATGGTCTTGATCTCGTGACATCGTGATCTGCCAGCCTCAGCCACCTCGGCCTCCCAAAGTGCTCGGATTACAGGCGTCAGCCACCGTGCCCGGCCTCTAGTGCCTGTTATTGCATGATACTTACTCTTTTCCTGACTGTGTGAAAGAGTAATGATAATGCTTCAATTATCATTATCTTTTTGTAAATTGAATTAATTGTCTGTCTTTTAAAGATGTTGTAATATTAACCAGTATATCCCCAAATTAACAGACTGTCCAGGAACAGGAAACATGCCAGAAAGTTTTTGTTGATTAAATTAACATAGCAGCCTAGAAAAACAATGATTCTTAGCTTTACCTTGGAGAGGTAACTTACCTTGATTTGACTGTTTTTCCTTGGAGAGTAAAGGCTGGCTTTTTCTGATTTGGGTCAAAGTATGAGTTCTGCTCTAACATTTTCAAGCAATGTCCTTCTGGAAAAGTCATTATGGATGGTTGTTATAGTTAAATAAAATAATGAGAGTAGAAGAGCTTAGTTAGCTTTCCTTCTCTAAACCAATCACTGGCAATGAAGACTGTTACTGATTTTCAGACCGTTCAAGACTCAAACTTTGAGTTTACAGGTTGATGAAACCCTTGAAGCCCAAGCAATTTGGTGGATACTAACACCTCAAAAAATCCGACATTCTTCCATGCAAGAAAGTAGAGTTTGGAAAGCTGGTCATGTGTTGATTGGAGAACAGTCACTTTTTATAGAGATTGATGTCTCTTTGTGCCTTAGTTTTCTATTTTTCCTATTTCTGTCATTGCAAATTAAAACCTATACTTCTTTAGAAAGAAAGGATATTATTCGATCACGATCTGATTCAAACTTTGCTTGGATCTTTGTCTCTCCAGGGTAGAAGATTAAATTCCTGTGGTTTTCTTTCCTTAGGAAAATGGACTCAGACTTCTCACATGCCTTCCAGAAGGAACTCACCTGTGTCATCTGTTTGAACTACCTGGTAGACCCTGTCACCATCTGCTGTGGGCACAGCTTCTGTAGGCCCTGTCTCTGCCTTTCGTGGGAGGAAGCCCAAAGTCCTGCAAACTGCCCTGCATGCAGGGAACCATCACCGAAAATGGACTTCAAAACCAATATTCTTCTGAAGAATTTAGTGACCATTGCCAGAAAAGCCAGTCTCTGGCAATTCCTGAGCTCTGAGAAACAAATATGTGGGACCCATAGGCAAACAAAGAAGATGTTCTGTGACATGGACAAGAGTCTCCTCTGCTTGCTGTGCTCCAACTCTCAGGAGCACGGGGCTCACAAACACTATCCCATCGAAGAGGCAGCTGAGGAAGACCGGGTAAGAGATAGCTCTGTGATCACCTGAAAGCTGGAGGGTGGCAGAGTTAAAGAGATTAGAAGGATGATGAGAATCACGGTGATTACTCCATTCTTTACTGAGTGCCAGGTGCTGTTCTAGGTACCAATGATGACATTTTGAATAAAATGTGCAACTCTACCTTCCTTCATGGAGCTTGCACCCAAAAAGAGACTGATTAAGTAAATGTCATTATTATTGACTCTACAGTTCAATGCTAATGACATTGAAAAGCTACCAAAACTACCAGTGCAAAGAAAGGTATTTTGGAAATATATTTAATATTACTGGACAAATGAGTATGGGAGTAGCACACTACAAAATCAGGGGCTAGCATAGTGGGTTCTGAAGCAGGATGTTTCCCTGAACTAATTTAGCTGGGTTACAGGAAATCTTCACTCTTCAGTTCCCTAAACTGTTCTACATTCTGAAACCTCAAACTGAAAAATATCAATTAAGGATGAGCAATGAAAAATTTTGTTTTTTTCTCCTCTCACTAATGTATTTATATATTAGATCCCTTGCCTGCTTATACCACTCAGATGGTGGAATCTTTGGTATTTGACTTTCTGTTCAACCTTTAATTCTTTTGCAGGAGAAACTCTTAAAGCAAATGAGGATTTTATGGAAAAAGATTCAAGAAAATCAGAGAAATCTATATGAGGAGAGAAGAACAGCCTTCCTCTTGAGGGTAAGTATGAGACCGTGAGTCCTCCTGACCAGCTTGAGACAGGCATGCTGACAACATTTATATTAGCAACTTGAGTTGAAATTCTCATATGCCAGATTTTGTCATGTGTTTATTCATAGGCTGGAAAACAACCAGACTGTTCAACATAACGATTGTTCAGGTTTTCTGTAAATGCTTTTCAGATAAGTAAAAAATAAATATAAATTCTGAAGGGCAAGTATGTGCTTAAAATTAATAAGTATTTCAGACAGTTTTCTGTATAAAATGAATTATGAAATATTGATTAAATAGTATATAATTGAGAAATAAAGGCATTTATTGGTGAATATGGTATTGTCCGGGGGAAGAAATCGGGTGGGAACAGTAATTTAAGAAATGTGCCTGTGCTGGTGAAATCTGGTAGCAAAGGACCCACATGATGCCAGTCCGAGTAGGAGAAAATGCAACATGAGGAAAAGCTGAGGAGAAGGGATAAAAAATGACTGGGGCAGTGAGAGGATAAATATGTCATTATTGAGAGGAGAAACACAATGGAATGGGGATTAATGTTCTTAGAATGGCAGTGCAATACAGAGTCTATGGATTTGACAGAAGAAAGATAGGAGACAGAAAAGAGGTAGTCGGTTTGAGAGATGGGGGTTAAATTTTTTACTAAGATCCTTTTTGTGTGATGGCTTCTGATCCTGATTATAATATACTAAAAACATTTCTACTAAGAGTGATTGTTCAGGCTGTGAAGTACAGAGATTTGAAACAACAACCTAAGTGAATAACAAAGATTATGTGTATTATCCATGACAATGTAACAATCAATCATAAATTTTAGTTGTTTTCTAATTGTATTTCCGATTTGATTTAAACATTTAAACCTAAAGGGCTTTTTTGCAGGTGTTTGGGAATTGATGAATTACATAAATTTTGAAGGAAGGTCTTGCTTAACTCATCATCCTGTTTGTAAAGGATGGAAAATAAAAGAAGGAATGAGGAGGATGAAGTTGTGGGCTCTGTGAGGTGGAAGTAGGCCTGGGTATATAACCTACAAAATTCATATCCCTACAGGGCGATGTGGTTTTACGGGCACAGATGATCAGGAATGAGTATAGGAAGCTGCATCCGGTTCTCCATAAGGAAGAAAAACAACATTTAGAGAGACTGAACAAGGAATACCAAGAGATTTTTCAGCAACTCCAGAGAAGTTGGGTCAAAATGGATCAAAAGAGTAAACACTTGAAAGAAATGTATCAGGAACTAATGGAAATGTGTCATAAACCAGAGGTGGAGCTGCTCCAGGTAAGAATGGAGGATGCCCCTTGAGACACTTTGTGTTAGCTGACCTTTACATCTTTGCCTTCCATTGGGTACCAAAGACATTATTTCCTCATCTCCTGCACTGACGGTGAGAGTCATTCCCACCGGTTATAGAGATAAACTATAACTCCTACGCTAATCATGGAAATAAAGCTTTATGGAATTGTGCAACTAGATTTCCATACAACATTTTCTACCACAAGCTTCCTCCTCCAGCACATTTCATTAAAACTCTGGAAGAAAAAATTTCATGCTTGATTTGAGCCACATTACACTTTGGGGACTAGCCCTGAAAAAGACCACATTGTAGACAGCTGCAGCAATGCGCAGTCACTACTCACACCTTTCTCTCTCACTCAAATTTAGGGTCCTTAATTTATCAGAAATCCATATTGTCAATAGGTCTTACTGGTATAATTGTTAGAGATGAGAATACATTTTAAAAGAGTGGCAGTAATAGTATACGGTAATTCTAAAGTTTTGAAAACCTAAAGACCAGATAGGCAGAATAGCAACTTTTTTGTGTGTTTATTTTGAGACAGAGTCTTCTTCTGTCACCCAGACTGAAGTCCAATGGCCCAATCTCAGCTCACTGCAACTTCTGCCTCCTTGGTTCAAGCAATTCTCCTGCCTCAGCCTCCCTAGTAGCTGGGACTAAAGGCATGAACCACCACACCCCACTATTTGTGTGTGTGTGTGTATTTTTAGTAGAGACGGGGATTTGCCATGTTGTCCAGGCTAGTCTGGAACTCCTGACCTCAGGTGTTCCACCCACCTTGGCCTCCCAAAGTGCTGGGATTACAGGTGTGAACCACCTCACCCAACAAGAATAACAACTTTCTAAAGAAGTCATTTTTTTTTTCTCTCTCTCTCTACAGGATTTGGGAGACATCGTGGCAAGGTATGTTTTTGGCCGTCAGTGCAAACTGGAGCACAAGGCATGCTATGAAAAACATCAAGCTGTTTCCAACAAAGTGAAAACATAATTTACTAACACCATAATGTGTCAGTGTGATTGTGTGTGTATGTGTGTGTAGTCATGTGTTTATGTGGTATGATGAATGTCATCTATGCCTTTTATCAGACATTAATCTTTTCTTACTTTCCCAAGTGACTCAGGGGTTTATGTTTTGAAGAGTGCAATGCAGAGGTTGCTAGAATACAGTTGCCTCTTTTTGCGATTCAGAATCATAATTAGAGATAAACTATTTGGTGGCAGATAGGGAGAGAGGCATTTATCTTTCAGGGGCAGTAGGTTAGAAATGGAGTGAATAGTTAGAAAGATTCCCTAAGAGCCACAAACCCATCCTAGCGTTGTGGAGGTACATTACGGTATCAGAAGTGGGTTTGAATGAAGCATTTTCTGTTGGAATCTGTTTCTTAAACACAGACATCAGAAAGTTAACCAACTCAACCTACTTCCTTGCAGGAGTGAGTCCGTGCTGCTGCACATGCCCCAGCCTGTGAATCCAGAGCTCACTGCAGGACCCATCACTGGACTGGTGTACAGGCTCAACCGCTTCCGAGGTGAGTGTGGCCCTGTTGGTGGGATCCACATGCAATGCCTTCAATTATGGTTTTCTATGGGCAGCTTTCCCAGTGTAATGATCTTTCATCTAGAAGAAGAGAATAGCCTGTGAATAGGTATTTATATTTATAGTTTCACTATCATCAAACAGACAAAACGAAATAAAAGCTGGTGAAATGTAATAGGAATCAGCCATATAACAAATTTCTTAGAAAAATAAAACATGCAGAAGGGCTCTTTAGGACTTTAGGAACCATTCTCTGATACAATTTCATGTATACAATTATTACATGAAGTATACAGAACTGAATTCAGGACATTTCAATTTCAAATTCAGTGCAGTTAACGACTGATTTGAGTGACAGCGTTTTTTTTAAAAAAATACATTTTTAGGTGATGTTTCATAGCATTTATAATTTTAATCATGTTTTTAATCAACTAAAGCATACATGAGTAACTTATATAACAATGCAAAAACTGAGAATCTGTCAACAATAGGAACATGATTTGGTGGTTGACGAGGTCTTAGATAGAACTCCAGGATAGATCATGACAAATCCAGCAGAATAAAAGAAGTCTGTGCCTGAATCTGGCATGAAAGTCAGATAATTTTTGCAAGGAATCAGCACTTTTCAGAAGGCAGATTCAGGTTTTCTCTTTAAGTATGAATTTGCTAGGTTAAGTGGCAGATCATAATATTTCTGGAAAGTGATAACTTTTTTATTTGGGACTAAGAATAGCTCCCCACCTCATCTCCTGTCCAAAGCCTCCTGCTCTGCCCTGACGGAGAAGAGACAATGAAGGTTAATTTTATGGCTATGGACTTGGCTGCAGTGGAGGAGCTTCCAGTTTTTCAGTTGTTATGAAAGGTCGCTAACGAGACATAGACATGACCTTCCTCCCCTTTATACTTTTTGAGTTTATGGAAATTGTGATCATCCTAGTTTAGCCATTTACTTGTGCAGATCTCCTAACACCCTTTGATTCCAACATTTTTCCAGACAGAAGTTTCTTTCTAATCTTGACCTGTGTTTTCTAGTGAGAATCTCTTTCTTATCTGAACATAAGAATTTACAAACTGATTTTCACTGGAACATTCTCTTTTTTCTACAGTGGAAATTTCCTTCCATTTTGAAGTAACCAATCACAATATCAGGCTCTTTGAGGATGTGAGAAGTTGGATGTTTAGACGTGGACCTTTGAATTCTGACAGATCTGACTATTTTGCTGCATGGGGAGCCAGGGTCTTCTCCTTTGGGAAACACTACTGGGAGCTGGATGTGGACAACTCTTGTGACTGGGCTCTGGGAGTCTGTAACAACTCCTGGATAAGGAAGAATAGCACAATGGTTAACTCTGAGGACATATTTCTTCTTTTGTGTCTGAAGGTGGATAATCATTTCAATCTCTTGACCACCTCCCCAGTGTTTCCTCACTATATAGAGAAACCTCTGGGCCGGGTTGGTGTGTTTCTTGATTTTGAAAGTGGAAGTGTGAGTTTTTTGAATGTCACCAAGAGTTCCCTCATATGGAGTTACCCAGCTGGCTCCTTAACTTTTCCTGTCAGGCCTTTCTTTTACACTGGCCACAGATGATCAGGATTAAGAAAACTTACTGTTTGGGAACTCCATATACAAGGGAGCCCTTCACTGTTGATACAAAGAAATCATACTGTTCAGGCTTTTTTTGTACTTTAGTGTCACTTCATTTTATTGCTATTAAATAAAAAATTTGTAAAAGGCAAAACTTTTTGTACATTTTCTTACAATTAAAATAATCTCTTATGGACCATTACCTAAAATATGTATTGTGATTTTCAAGTGTTTGTGAATTTATTGGATGGAATTCTGGAAATATGTGGGTGTGTGATTCCAACTTAATGATCTCATTCAGGAACAACTTTTGTACATCATGGGCAGACGGGGTTTTGTACAATGCACTTGTAAGTGTGAGAGTTCCCTCCTATTAATACAGTAAATTCTACACCTCATCCCTTTGGGGGGAAAAATTTATTTCACACAGAAGTTGTCACTGAATCTTTGGGCTAGAACAGGAATTTAACAGTCATGCATCCTATGGCAACAAAATACATTCTGAGAAATGCATTATTAGGCGATTTCATCATTGTGTGAACATCAGAACACACTACAAAAACCTAGATAGTATATTCATCTACAGACATAGGCTAATGGTACAGCCTATTGCTTTTCTGAGAATTTGCTAGCGATGTCTGAGCAAGAACCAAAAGGGTTTAACCCACATTGAATTCCGCAGCTGTTTAATAAAGCAAACAGCATCATCCAGGGAATAATAGATGTGCAGACTGTCTGCTTTAAAATGTGTTTATATTTCCAATTCACACAGACTGTGAATTCTCATTGACAACCTAGAGACCAGACATAACCAACACCTCATGTTACATTGGAAACATATTAGTATCAGGTAAAAATAAATAAATAAATAAATAAACAAACTAACTAAATTAAACCAAAACAAAAAGTGAAACAAACAAAACCCAGTTCTGATGAAAACCCAGTTTATAGTGAGTCCATTGAGTCTGTCTAGCCACCAGATGGTCATTTTCATGATCACTGATTAAATAATGGAAACATTCTACTTCCAGTCCAGCAGATGATCCTGGCTGATGTCTGAGGTTCCTTGCTTGGGGCTGTTACCTAGAATATATTCAAACGGCCTTTCCAGGTAGCTCCCTGGGCTTGCTCACAGCATGGTAGATAATTTTCCACAGTGAAGATTCCCATAGAGTCAGGAGAATTGTATACTACCATTATTCCAGAGAGTAAAACATCAGCTGTAGCCACAACCCTACACAAAGTAAAGGGACTAGAACACACACACAGCAGTAGCAGTCTTGAAGTTACATCATAGAAAAACAATGTGGGATGGAATATATATTTTAGCACTCTTTTAGAGAGAGTGGGGGAGGAATATAACCTACTACACCTACTCTTCCTAAGAAGTGGACACTGAGGATCTATATCCAGAGACTGGGGGTCCTGTAAAACATGAGATCCAACGAGCCCCTTATAGAAACACCATTCAAGTTCCAGATTCCTGGAAAAGGGCAATTGACAATTGACCAGGTAAATATTCTTTTGGAAATTTTCTTCAAGATTTGGTATCAACTGGACAATCATTATGAACACAGCACAGCAAAATCACTGAGGAAGATGCACATGACACTGGAGTAGAGGGGGGGAAGGGGTGGTCCATCTCCTTCAAGATGACCAGGGAGAGACACAGTAATTCTATGTCAATGAGATGAAAAAGGTCAGGGCATCCTTGTCAGGAACCGCCTTCTGATGTCTATACGCGGCTGCAAACTATTCATGTAGGCCTTCTGAATGCCTTGTACTTCCCAAGATTTCTTGATGTTAAGAACCACTGACTGGGGTTCATAGTACGTAGAATACCTTCAGCATAGAGGGTGACAAAGTCTTTCCCTCAAAAGCCAGAAATTCAGAAACCTGTAGCTGAGTCATCCACTGGACCTTACCAGTAAGTGTGGGCTGAAGAGAGAGACACTGGCTTTAACCTCAGATAAAAGCTGTTCCATTCTCATTGCCTTGTAGCCTCTCATACTCAGAAGGAAAGGTGAGGCTCGGTCCTGTGACTGTTCATTCTTCCAGACTGTGAAAGTTTTTGATGCTGACTCAGAGAAATGTCCTCTGTTTACTAAAATATAATATCTATTAACATTCTGCTGCAAAGGAGATAGGCCCTGTCTTGTCGCAGTCCTCTCAACCTGTGCCCATATGTTCCACTCCTCTGGCCCGTACTGAACCATGATGCCTGCCAGAATCACTCTGAAATTCTTCTGTCCCTCTGTCAGTTTTCTGGCCCAGTTCTCAGAACGCAGGTCCCTGTCTGTCCGCTTTGCAATGATCTGTCCATGCCCTTCAAATTCACAACATAAGAAGAGTTGATCATTAAAATATCCCAGAATGGGAAATAGGGGTTCCCTGTTCTGTCTGAGACCAGCAATGCAGATGCAAGATTCTAAGGGAGGAGGAGAAAGCAAAAGTTGGTGCCCTTGAAACTGCTCAGTCACATCCTTGTGACATCTAAAAGGGTAAAAGGTATTCAGGGTTAAATAATTGGAACAGAAGGAGGACAGTCAAGTTCAGGCATATATGGAGAAAGAGAGCTTCTGTCAGTGCCTGACACCAAGTAAAACTCTTTCTTTAATGGAATGCACCCATAAATGTGTCAGAAAAATAACCCTTGGTGAGGAAAAGCAAAGTTGTAGAGAACAAGGGATAAAGAAGACAGCAAGCAACATTTCCTGCAGATTTCAAAATAATTCTTGAGTGCTTACATTTCCTGGAATTGCCATGAGGCTACTGTGTATTATCACCCACTATGAAAAAGTCAGCTGAGAGTAATATGGTATCATGGTTAAGAGCAATGTCTTGAAGCTAAATTGCCTGGGATTGGTTCCCAAACTCACTGCTCATAAGCCTCCTTCCCAGAACAAAGTGCCCTTCTCAAAGCCTTGTGTGTGGGTGTGGGGTGTATGGGTGTGTTAGGCATATTTTTATATAATATAGTATTCGTATATTCACAGTAATTGTGTGTGTGTGTGTGTGTGTGTATATATATATATATATATATATATACACATATATGTGCTGGGATTATAGGTGTCAGCCAATGCATCTGGCTTATTCTCACTTTTAACTATTGTCTTAGAAGCATGCATGATTCAATTTGTTTTTCAATTCACGAATATATCTAATGGCTTAGAGAGTTATTTTTTAACTGAACTGTCATGTTTTGCTGATAATGCAATTATGATATCTTTATTTCTATTCAACCCTCACATTATTTACTTCTTTTTCTTGTCTAGTTGCATTGAAAAGGAGATCAAGCAAGGTGTTGAACACAAGTGATGATAACAGGATTTATATCTCATTCCCATTCCTGGGTAGAAGCTTTCAAATTCTCCATTAAATATGGTACTGGCTCTAAGTTATTACATTCTTATTAGAGAAAGTTCATGGCTATTTGTTTTTAATAGTGCTTTCAAAATCATAAATGACCATTTCATTGTATCAAATATTTTCTTCCTCTTTTTACAGGAACAATGATATGTATTTCATCCTGTTCATGTCGTGATTACTTATTTCATTTTCTGATGTTACATTAGTCAACCTTTCTAGAATAAGCTCCACTTGGAGATGATATGAGTTTATCTCTCACAAGATTTGACTAGCTAGCTTTTTTGAATTGTTGCACCTATATTTATTTTAGAGTCTGTACTGCAATTTGCATTTCTTGTAACACACTTTTCAGGATCGAATATCAAAATTATATGTTGGAGCTTGGCACAGCAGCTAGAGCCTGTCATCACAGCCCTTTGGGAGGCCAAGACAGGAGGATCACTCGAGCCTAGAAGTTCTGGGCTTCAGTGAGCTATGATCTTGCCATCGCACTTCAGCTTGGGCAACAGAGAGAGAAGCTGTTTACAAAAAGTAAAAGAAAACACAACAGAAAACCAAAGTTACAAGTTGGGAAGTATTACTGCTTTTTTCTGTTCTCTAGAAGGGTTTGTCTAAAAGCGTGTGATTTTTTTTTCTTAAATGTTGTGAATATTTCACTGAAAAAGATCACCAGGTTTTTCGCTGGGAGAAGTTTTGTTTTTTAAATAATAGGGTAAATTTTTAGAATCTAAATCATATCTTAGATTTGTCTATGGTTTCTTCTGTTGGTTTTTGTCAGATATGTTTTTCAGGGAAATTTCTCATTTCATCTAAATCATCAAGTGTATGAACATAAAAGTCATCTTAAAATCTTCTTATTAACATATTAATTTGTGGATGACCTAAGTGTTGGCCTATTTATTTTTGATTTGAACTCCTCTTCTCCATTTTTTAATTGAGTCTCACTAAGAATTTATCAATTTAATTGATCTATTTAAAGAGCCTACTTTTGGTGGGTGTGGTGGCTCACACCTGTAATCCCAGCACTTTGGGAGGCCGAGGTGGGTGGATTATTTGAGGTTAGGAGTTTGAGACCAGCCCAGCCAACATGGTGAAACCCCAGCTCTACTAAAAATACAAAAATTAGTCAAGCGTGATGGCACGTGCTTGTAATCCCAGCTACTCGGGTGGCTAAGGAAGGAGAATCACTTGAACCTGGGTGGCAGAGGTTGCAAGGAGCCGAGATCGCACCACTGCACTCCAGCCTGGGTGACAGAGTGAGACTCTGTCTCAAACAAACAAAAAAAAAGCCTACTTCATTGATTTTATCTACTGTATGCTTTTTAATCAATATTCTACAATTTTTTTTTTTAGATTTTGGCATGAATTTACTCTTGTTTATCTGGCTCTTTGGGATAGATAACAGATGAATTTAATGCTTTATTTCTAAATAACAGATGAATATAATGCTATACATTTTCTTCTTAACATTGTTTTAATTAAATCTCAGAAGTTTTGTTTCTATATATCTTGAATATTATCCCATGAAAAATATATTCATTGCTTTTCTTTAATTCATGCATTTACAGAGACACTGTAAAAGAAAGAGAAGAAAATACTTTTTTAAACCTTTATTTTAAGTATAGCAATACATGTGCAGGTTTGTTACATGGGTAATCTTGTGTCATCAGGGTTTGTTGTATAGATTATTTTATCAACCAGGTCTCAAGCCTAGCACCCATTAGTTATTTTTCCTGATCCTCTCCCTCTTCTAATCCCCCACCCTCCTATAGGTCCCAGCGTGTGTTGTTCCCCTCTATGTGTCCATATGTTCTCATTATTTAGCTCCCACTTATAAGTGAGAACATGCACTATTTGGTTTTCTGTTCCTGTGTTAGTTTGCTAAAGATAATAGCCTCCAGCTCCTTCCCTGTCCCTGCAAAAGACATGATCTAATAATTTTTTATGGCTGCATAGTGGGAATACATTTTCTAGTTACATTATAAAACAATAAGAAACAACTGAAATTAATTTTAATAAAAATCGTTAACCAAATATATCCAATAGGTTTCGACACGATTAACATTACAAACGTTAGTAAGATATTTTGTATTGTTACTTTTTTGTTTATCTGTTTGTTTTGAGACAGGGTCTTCCTCTGTCACCCAGGCTGGCATGCAGAGATGGGCATTCCAGCTAACTGCAGCCTCAACACCCTGTGCTCCAGCAATCCTCCCACCTCAGCCTCCCCAGTAGCTGGGACTACAGGTGCTTGCCACAACACCCGGGTAAAGTTTTTTTTCTGTAATGATGAGGTTTCACAGTGTCGACCAGGCTGGTCTCAAACTTCTTGAATCATGAAACGTCCCACTGCAGCCTTCCAATGGCTGGTATTACAGGCATGATCAACTGCACTCTGCTTTCTTACCTTTCGTGCTAAATTTTTGAAATTATGCACTAGAAGATCCGAAGTAAGAGAAGTGTTAAAAAAGATGAAGCCCCCAAATTGCAAGAACCACAGAGAGTAATAAACTGTGGTCCAAAGGTAATCAGACAGATTTAAACTCATATACAGAAAAACCAATCTAAAAAGAAAAGAAACGTTGATTATAAAGCGAGATTCTTGACTTTGTGATTGCAGACTTTGTGATTAGCAGTTTTCTATAATGGTAAAATCCAGGTCAGGCCATGAAAGTGGAGGCAGAGATACAATAAAGGAGAAGTTCTTTCAACCAGACCTCACAATCTAGTAGAAGTAACAGACACACTAGTAAAGCAACAATCCCAGTACAACATGGAAACTGCCACAAATATCTATCTATTGGACATATAGAATCAAAGATCAAATCGTTTGCATGAGTCTTGAAGAATGAATGGAAATTTTCCGGGTGAATAAACAGTAACAGTTGTCCAGGTTCAGAAAAATGCCTGCATAAGGGAGAATTTGCTGTCTAAGGTGGTTTTCAATACCTGTGATTCTCGGCAGATGAGCAATGCTTTGATGGTCCAGAAAAACCGAGGGGTTAAAAGTGTATTTGTGGAATGCAACTTTTTATAAATCCAAAAAGTAACTTTAAAAGGAGACTGTGGATGGATTTCTGAATCACAAGTAAGGGAAACTCTGTCAGAGAGGACTTCCAACTGGACAATTTCAAATGAAGAATCCTTAGCTCATTTGAAATACCAAGGTCTTAGAAAAAGAGAACAGAGGCCATGGACTGGAGACGAGAGTTTGAGTTTTAAACAGGGTGGTCAGAAAATGCCTCAATGAAAAATTCATATTGAGACAACGTCTTGAAGAGGAAGGCAAACACAAGTGTGTGTGTGTGTGTGTGTGTGTGTGTGTGTGTTTGTGTGTGTGTGTGTATGCTTAGAGAGAGAAAGAGAGGCAGAGAGAATTCTAGGTGAAGAAAACAACATGTGCAGTAATATTGAGTTTGTGTTTATTTTGAGGGCTGAGGAACCACAAAGAAGTTTATGTTTTATGTTAAAGTCAGTATGAAAAACAATGGAAAGAAATGAGATTAGATAGACAAAGAAGGCCAGATCATAAATGAAGCCTTATTAGCATAGGTTTTGCTTGGTGAAATGCATTGAGTTGAGCATGCTAGTCTGAGGCTATTTCACACATAATGAATTTAAATAACTTGCCCCAAATTTCAGAAATGAAAATAATTATTCCCTTTCTAGTCAATATAGCTCTAGAGTCTAACTATTAAGCCCGAACTGTCTTACTTTTCTATAAATATGAGTTGGAAAAGAGGAATCCAATTTGTTTTTCTTCTTTATGACTATCTTAGAAAAAACACTTTATCACGAATAAAGTGAATATATTTGGTTAGATACATCTATGTTCGTTGATCTTCATGCAGAAAAGAAAACAGAGTAAAATTTCGTATAGTCTGAGAATTGGCAAGACTAAGAGTTAAAATATGGGATGTTCAAGAGACAAAGAGGAACCAGTGAGATTCAATAGGAGATGAGTACGTCGGTTTTGTTTTTGACTAACCCGTTGTTACTGCAGGATTATGTGAATTTAAAGATAGAAGCAATCAGAGCTGAATATCAGAAGATGCCTGCATTTCTCCATGAAGAACAGCAACATCACTTGCAGATGCTTCAAAAGGAGGACGAAGACAATTTTTAGCAACTCCATAAAAGCGATGCCAGAATGGCCCATGAGAGGGAGATTTTAAAAGGAATGTATGAGGAGCTGAAGGAAAAGTCCCATAAACCAGATGTGGAGCTAATCCAGGTACTGACTGACCATGGGGTATCAGGATGTGGAACATTCATGTGCACAGGTGTTCTTCCTCTTTCCTGAAATGCCTTCTTCCCTGTATTTCCACGACTTCTTTCCAGAAACACATTTCCATAACTCATGCTACTTTGTGGGTAGAGTATAGCCCCTCCCAGGGATTTTACCAGAAAAAAAGGTCCCTCTTACTTTATCCACCAGCAACAAAACTTTGTGGAATGGTCAAGGTAACAGCCCTAATAAATATTCCCCATCTACGGTCAATAATATATTTGGCTTTTTGAACATTTATAAAATAGTGAGAAATTCATTTACATTAGGTCAGTTTGGAGACATGGCAAGACTGGGAGTTTGGGGAATCTAAATATTATTTTTCATCCATTCACTTTTATAATAGGGCCTAGGGAAGATGACTGGATAGGTTCTTCATGGTTACTGCAGAAGATAGACTCTGGGCCTTTTCTCCCTTCACTTGTATAAAGAATGTCTTCAAGACTCTGACTTCACTAGGACATTAATTCATAACAATATGATAGACTATGTTTTTCATTAGAGAAGAAATATAAAATGCTTTCCAGAAGGGAAAATGGCAGGAAAATAATATTTTCAGAAACTGCCTCCAGATCTCACACTGAACTTAGTGGAAGATTCATCTTGTAGAAAGCACAAACCCTTTCTATTTTTTTTTTACAGGTGTTTGGAGACATATTACACAGGTGCACGTGTACCTGGATTTTAGCAGGTGTTCTTTCAGTTTCCACAAATATCAAACAGGATCTACTAAAGCGAAGGCATACATGATCAAGATATTAATATTACTTTTTCCTGGTTCTACTTTTGCTCCCCCACCTTATGTAGTCATCTATTATGTCACCATACTCAGTGATTTTACTGGACAGATGCAAAGAAAGTATTGGGAAAAAAAAGGAGAAAAAGCAAACACCAATACATAAATAAATAAACAAAAGAAGAATGAAAGAAAACAAGCATCTCAATTTCTGATTTTTTTATACCTCCAAATCCTGGATAGGTGAAAGATAAAGTGTTGTTTCCTGGATGGTGGGAAAATCACCAGGGGAAGCAGCAGGAGAGAGAAGGGGAAACTATTTTAGAAGTGAGAAAGTGTGGATGATTTGTTGTTTACATTATATATATATACACACACACACACATATATATACACACACATACACATATATATAATCAGTTGATGCTCTGAAAAATAGATTAAACAAACTGTAAAGGGTTAGAAGCCTGTAAGCCTCTAGAGAAGTCTGGCACTAAAGAAGAAGAGCACACTGACAGGCACCAGCAGATGCTGGCAGCCATTAATGGTAGAATGACATGGAAATCAGCTGAGAGCTCTTGGAGGCGAGCCCTGCTGCTGAGACGTTTTACTGCAGGGGAACACCACCTTCCCACTCCATCCCCCTTCTGGCACACCATTTATCTGCTGAAAGCTGCTTTCACCAACCAATAAATCTTGCACTCATTCTCCAAGCCCACATATGATCCGAGTTCTCTGGTACACTCAGGCAACAACCCCAGGATACAGAAAGCCCTCTGTCCTTGCAAAAAGGCAGAGGGTCTAATTGAGCTGGTTAACACCAGCCAGCTGTGGAAAGGTAAGCTAAAAGAGCACAATGAAACACAAGCCCACTGGTGCTTTTCTTTTCTAATAGTATAAAATCTAAAACTTAAAGAAATGTCAGTTTTATTTACGACTACACTCCAGGAAATAATAACAATCAGTTAATATAACGTCTAGGACATAATGGAAATGTAACAAATATTTGAATAATTAAATTTAAAAATGCATAAGAGAGATTTGAAAACTTTGATGTTAAAGATAGGAGCATTAATTTAATGGTTTGCGTTTTTTAGGATTTTAGGTTGATGTGAAAACCAATTAAATTCTAGAAGCTAATTTTAAACCTCATCCATTTTTCATCTTTTTAGAAAGATTCCTGTTTGTTGGGATGCAGGGAGTATAGAGAGTGTATTAGCACAGAAGCCTAATGTGTGGGTGTGTGATAAAGTCATGGCAGTTATTCATTATTCATTTTATTTATATATATTTGGATAGAGAGATAGACTGAATTTTTAAAATGGAGATAGGGTCTCACTATGTTCCCCAGGCTGAACTCATACTCCTGGGCTCAAGGGATGCTCCTCCCTCAGCCTATGGAGTAGTCAGGAATATAGGAGCTGGCCACCATTCCTGGCAGTTTGTTTCATTTTAATTTAATTTGAGGTCATCCCCCAGGCCATAAGAGAAGAGATGGGAGAATAGAAGAACAAAATGTAGACATATACTCCCTTCTTTCTATTCTCATTTCACCATCATACAATATCCCCTTGGTTTTTGTTTTAATAATTGTTCTGCCACAGTTAATTACACATTCACTAGTGTGTTTCCACTATCAAACGTACTTCTTCGGTATACTGTGGAAATTAACAAATGCTTGTTAACAGAAAAAAAACAAAACCTAAAGCTTGGTCAACATCACTGTCTTCCATACCGGGGAATGAGTGTTGCTGTGGGGTCTTGAACAAGTCTCCTCAAGGTAGGAGGCTAAACTTGACTTTCGAGGTAGGGCTCAGACACCAAACCAAGTTGAGGTTAGCTAAAACAGGGACCAGGCAGAAGCAGCTTTCCAAAAGACACGCCCACCAGTGTGCCAGAGCAGGTTACCATTGCCATGGCAACACCCAGGAGTTATCACCCATTCCATGGCAATGACTTGACATCCCAAATTACCCTTTCTCTAGAAATTTCTGCATAAACCCCTTAGTCTACATGCTATTAAAAGTAGGTGTAACCATGACTGCAAAACTGCTGTGAGCTGCTAATCTCTGCCCATGGAGTAGCCCTGCTCTGTGGGAGCAGCCACAAAGCTGTAACATCACCAGAGCTGAAACGCTACTGCTTCAATAAAGCTGTTTACCTCTACCTTTGGCTTGCCCTTGAATCCTTTCCTGGGCAAAGTCAAGGACTCTCAAAGGTTAAGCCCCATTTTGAGGCTCAGCTTCCCTGCATTGAGCTTAACTCACTTTGCCAAAGTGTTGTCAATTATCAAGCCTAGTGATGAGAGCTTACAAAGCTTACATTTATTGAGAACTTATCATGTGGTACGCATGTGTTTTAAATGCTTCAAATATAAAAACCTCTATAATCCAATATTTACAATAAAAAACTGAACTGTGGGAAATTTAACAGATCTGAACTAAGGCAACTAGTCTCCCACATCTGTACTCTTCATTTTGCAGTGTGTTGCCGTCTCCAGTGAAATGTGGGTAATAGACCAACATTCCAACGACCACTGGTTGAGAGTCAGGTCACATCATGCTGTATCCAGAATTGGTGGGTTCTCGGTCTCGCTGATTTCAAGAACGAAGCCACGGCCCCTGGCGGTGAGTGTTACAGTTCTTAAAGACAGTATGTCAAGAGTTTGTTCCTTCAGATGTTCAAATGTGTACAGAGCTTCTTCCTTCTGGTGGGTTCGTGGTCTCATTGACTTCAGGAGTGAAGCTGCAGACCTTGAGGTGAGTGTTATAGCTCATAAACACGGGGTGGACCCAAACAGTGAACAGCAGCAAGATTTATTTTAAATAACAAAAAGAACAATGCTTCCACAGTGTAACAGTGTGGTAAGGGACTCTAGTAGGTTGCGCCTGCTGGCGCAGGTGGCCTGCTTTTATTCCTTCTCTGGCCACACCCACGTCCTGCTGATTGGTCCATTTTGCAGAGAGCTGATTGGTCCATTTTACAGAGAGTTGATTGGTCTATTTTGACAGAGTGCTGATTGGAGTTTTTACACTCCCTTAGCTAGACAGAAAAGTTCTCTGTGTCCCCACCTGATTAGCTAGACACAGAGCCCTGATTGGTGTGTTTACAAACCTTTAGCTAGACACAGAGTGCTGATTGGTGCGTCTACAATCCTTTAGCTAGACAGAAAAGTTCTCCAAGTCCCCACCCATCCCAGAAGCCCAACTGGCTTCACCTCTCACTGGCACTTGCCGCTGGACTTTGTGGCACCTAGCCCGGGCACTCTGGCATCCCAGAGGGATCTCGTCCCAGACAATCTAGAGGAAAAGAGGGGAAGCGAGAAAGAGACAGAGACCTACTAACGTGGCTAACGATCCCGCGAAAAGGGAACAGGGGTCCCACGCACGGGATTGAGCCTCCTATCAAGCCCAGCAGGCTCCGACGGGCTGCGCTGAGTGCGGGACTTGCCGAACCCTCGCTAGCCCGCAAGAGATGCGTGCGGCCCAGGCTCCTGCTGGCGCGTCTCTCTTCACACTTCCCCTTCAGCAGAGGTAGCCAGCTCTGGCCTAGGCCAGCACCAGAGGGGTCCCTCATAGCGCAGCAGCAGGCTGAAGGGCTCCTGGAGCGCGGCCAGAGTAGACACCGAGGCTGAGGAGGCACCCAGAGCGAGCGAGGGCTGCTAGCATGTTGTCATTTCTCAGTGCCACTAAAGAGTTTATTATAATACCTAACACAATAAAAAATAAATATCTGCTGTAATATTAAAATATTAATAAAAATAATATTTACCACATAATTTACCACTTTCACTCCATCTCATCACTGAATAATCTATAACTTTACTGCAACATCAAGCCCAATCCACCTTCTCTTTCTTTCTCAGGAGATGACTTTGCATCTCATCTTGTCAATAAAATGGAGTTTATGTAATCTTTTACATTTAGGCTCAAAGCCATTTTTTTCATAACCTTAATAGCACCCTTCATCACCGCATTTCAACTGTTTACACAAAAACACAATTTAAAGTTTTTTATGGCTTGGCATGGCAGCTCATGCCTGTGATCCCAGCACTTTGGAAGGTCGTGGCAGGAAGATTGCTTGAGGTTTGAGACCAGCCTAGGCAATACAGCAACACCCCATCGCTACAAAATATATATGTATATATAAGCCATACGTGGTGGCTCACACCTGTAATCTTAGCTACTCACAAGGCTGAGATGGGAGGACCCCTTCAGTCTGGGAGTTTAAGGCTAAAATAAGCTAAGATTGCACCACAGTACTCCAGCCTGGGTGACAGAATGAGACCTCGTCTCAAAAAAAAAAAAAAAAAAAGTTGTATGTGAATATATGTTTACAAAAATGCCTGCTTTGTTCTAGACATGGATTGTTGTGCTCTGGATATATGAAGTTCTTAATATTCTCCTTACATAAGAATAAAAGAATTAATATAAACAAATATTTTTCTGTAATAGAATTAGGAAATTTTCCCAAAATATGGGTAGCATAATATGATAGAAAATATTAAAGGATAATGTCAAAAAACGTAAGAAGATTAGTGTCAAGATTCACATGCTAATGAAGTGTCAAGATTCACATGCTAATGAACTTTCATTATTTATATATTTGAAACAATTGTATCTTATTTTTATTCTATAAGGTTGATTGTGAAATTTTCTGAGGATGGCCAACATGTACCAGGAAAATACGAAGATTCTTAGTGATAAGAAAATATAAAAAAGGACTTACAATGATGGAGACTGTCGGGAATTAAACTGACATACATATTAAGCTACTCACTAAGAATAAAATGATTTCCATCTCATTTACTGTAGAAATATACAAAACACACTTACATCATAAAGAGGAATACAGATGATAGAGAGTGCATATTTTTATAATAAATTGAGAAACCTATGTTAAAACAAAAAAAGGAAAGAAAATATCTTGGATTATAAACAAGGGATCAATTATGACTAATATGTAAAGAATTTGTATCATCTGTAATTCATTCAGTCTCATAAACCTGAGGGTACATTTCTCACAGATACCCAGAATCAGCAAAAACCTCTCATGGGATCAGTTAGGGCACAGGCTAATTTACTCTAATAAAGATCCCAATTTTAAGTAAATGGGGGCTATTTTTTACATCTACTTATCTAAATAGAGGAGGTAATCAAAAAAAAACGACTGTTACTTTCAACAACTGGATTTCATCTCTATTTGCAAGAAAGTGAAATTTGTTGCCATCTCCTGTTCAGCGAGAAAACTGAAAAAGCATCCTGAGCAAGAGGACCTGAATGTCAGGAAATGACGTGGTGCTTTCTACAATACTTCTGTTCCCATCCTCTTCCTTCAAGCTTAGGCATGCAGCACACTGAGCTGCCAGATGTATCTGGAAATGCTGAATACACATTAAATGTTTATTTTTATTTCCTTTATTTTATTTATTTTTATTTTATTTTATTTATTTTTTATTTTTGTTTTTATTTGCCAGAGACAAGGTCTTGCTATGTTGCCCATGATGGTCTCAAAGTCGTGAAATCTAGTAACCCTCCTACCTCAATCGCCCAAAGCATCGGGATTAGAGGCATGTGACACTGTGTCTGGCCTTTTCTTTATCTTTTTTTTTTCTTTGATTTAGAAGAAAAAAAAAATTCAATGACAGACAGAGCAGAAGAAATACCCAGAGCTTGTGTTCAATGAAAATCAGGTGATCCTTTACTAAAGAGTTGCTTTTAGTTCGAACCGGGAATGAGTATTCAGGAATAAGTAAACTCTGCTTTTCACCACTGTCGAGGTGTCCAGTGTTTCCCCATTCAGCAACTGGCTAACTGAGGATCATATGGCAAGAAGGATCTTATGTGTCTTTTAATCTCTTAAATTGGTGGCTAAATCAAGGTGATTATCCAAATTATGAAAATACTTATCAGCAATGCTTCCTTATTCTTTCTGTCTGTACTACCTAGACTGCTTAGTTAACTTTCTCTCTTCTCCTCCTACACATGTTTTGTAGCACTTTACTCGGCAACAGGAAAATTCTATCACCTTCTGAAATTTGTGTCTCTCCAAGTGATCTCACATTGTGGAATTTTACCTTCTGGGCTTTCAACCCAATTTTCCTTTCTGTTTCCACCTAAAGTTCCTGAGCATTCTCTATTGACACTAAAATTTCCATAAGCAGCAGCCATTACACTCTCAATTACCTTGTTACCAATTTTGTTTGTCATTTATTCAAAGAAAATTTTGTAGCTAATCTTATTTAGCTTAGATTTACTTGTACATACAGGTGGTATTAGCCACTAAGGACATTTAAGATATAGGTTGGTAAATTTTCTCAGCCATTAAACCAAAAATTTATTACATTCTTCTGTTTTGATAACTTCTATTATAATTATTATCACCTGGGACATTCCTAAAATTCAGAAATAAAATTAAGGTAAGACACTGGGAACCTTGCCAGTTATATCAGAAACCTAAGATTCCTTCTCACCTCGTGAAGAGGTTATTGATCCATTTGCCTTGTCACATTTTGGGGGGCAGAAGTAAAATTCTTCATAGAAATAAAATTAAAAACTGATGTGGAAACATAGTATGTGTGTAGTTCAAACCAGAGAAGTGATATGAAATTTAAGGAAGAGTATACAAAATGCGAAGAGATCACAGTCTATGATGAAATTCTGGGAAAGCCGTAGCATAAAGATCACATCAAGGAATATGAGCCCAGGAAGGAACTAAGATGTGTTAACCATATACTTAAAAAAAGAAAATTACATGTTGGGAGGCTGAGGCGGGCAGATAACTTGAGGTCAGGAGTTCGAGACGAGCCTGGGCAACATAGTGAAACCCTGTCTCTACCAAAATTACGACAATTAGCCAGACATGGTGGTGGGCATCTGTAATCCCAGCTACTTGAGACACGGGGCTGGAGACTTGCTTGAACCCAGAAGGTGCAGGCTGCAGTGAGCTGAGATTATGCCACTGCACTTCACCCTGGGTGCCAGAGTACGACTCTGTCTCAAAAGAAAAGAAAAGAAAAGAAAGGAAAGTTGTTTGTGGCAAAATAAAGCAAATGCATAATAGTAGCATACATAGAGTTCTTGTCTTGTGTTCTCAATTTAGCCAGCATAATTTAATTTATCATTTCAACTAACTATAGCTGTTGATGCTGCAGACTCAGAGAGGAATGTCTACCCAGGTGTCCTCCCGTGAGCTTTCCTCTGACTCATTGCTAGTAACCAAAAATTCAAGATTATGTAAAATAAAGTTACTGTTATTAGACAATAAAAATTCTACTGCCTTCAAATCAGAAAATGTTATTTCTGTTCTCAGTTCAACTCCTGGTGTGTGTGTGTGTGTGTGTGTGTGTGTGTGTGTGTGTGTGTGTGTAATTTTGGCCAGATTTTCTCATATCTCTTCAGGTTTTCTCATTGTATATTTGAAGATATGAAAAGACAAAATTTTTGCAAATTTAGCTAAATGATCAAATTGGCTTCTATCTGTGATTCAAAAATAAGAAAATATCTCATCCAAAAATAGAGAGTTTCTGTGCTGGGTATGGGACAAGAGCCAGTTTCTGTAAGGTTTCTTGAACAGGAACAAAGAAACAAAATAATACAACAAACGAAATGGTTAACATCAGGTTACTCTTCTTGCATAGATGAAAGAATAGAGGACTTCCTTATCATGCTGGCTAAAGCTGGCCTGTTTTGGCATTTGGCTATTATGCATCCGTCCTGATTTTTTACTAAGTCAGGTAAACAATGTAATTAAAAACTCAGGGATGCAGAACTTTAGCATGAATAGCTGCATTTTGATTTGGTCTGTTGGGGCACAGTCCAAATAAATGGAATTTTTAAAAATTTGAATTAACAGAATGTTTTTACATTTATCTCATATTTCTATAGTATTTTAGGATTTAATTTTCTATCCTTGATACTCATCTGAGGTTTCCTTAAAATGTCTGAGGACAGTCACCTAATACATACTGGAATTTTATACTTCTAACCTTTCTAACTTTTAGGAATACACATGAGCTTATTTTATAGGGGGAGCTTAAATTCATTACTTTATTACTTGAAAATTTCAGAAAGAAAATATCTTTCTTTCTGAATTTTCTGGGAAGTAGGCAGAATAATCTGGGAGATAGGCAGAAAATCTAGAGACAACTGAGAGAAGAGGGCAATATAATCACAATGTGGAAAAGAGATCAGTGGCAATTTTTTCTTTTAATCCAATCTTGGAAACAGATCATTTATTCACTCACCCATTCTTTAATCCCAGCCACTTGGAATTCCCTTGTGAGTCTCTTCCCTCACCTGTAGTTTATTTCCAAACATATTCGGGAAACATGCACAGAGAACACTACATTACCCTAATCCTATTAATAAAACAATCACTTTAATAGGAAGGAAGAAGCCTGTACGAATCAAAAAGGATGATCAAGACAAATTTCTGTGATTTTTTTTTGTAGCATCGTGCATGGAGGATCCACATGGTTTCCACAGAGCTGGAGTCATTCAGGGAAGCTTCTTATATCGAGAGTGGTCCAGAAGAATTCTACCAAAGATTTAAGAAGTGTTTTTCTGCAACTCATATCTTCATAAGTATGAAGGGTAAAGATTCTCAGAATACAGTTCATGGATATCTGATTCTTAACAGGTAAGACAGATACTGTCCAAGAGCATTTCCAACAGGATAATATTGAGTAGTGTATCCTTCCATGCACCTGGAAAGCCAGGAATTAGAGAAAAGTATGAAGATGAGAAAGCAGTGTCATCTGCTATTGTTGCAGTGATGGTACAAGCTCCAGCTTACCAAACTATCAGTGGGCAGCATACTGCCATTACTCAGTGAGGAGCTTTAGAACTAACTAGTAATGATACTCTTGGTGCACAAGGACTGCAGAAAAGATAACGGATTAGAGGAGCCACTCTATTGCTGGTGACGTACACAGTGCACTATCTAGAGACCACTGATGGGCAGAGAATGCTAGCAGCCAGTAACCAGGTTGTGGTACCAGCTGTCACAGAAAATGTGCCATCATCCCAGATTGGCATCCTCTATCAGCATTGTGCCTGGAGCGGGTAGGGCATCTTTCCCAGGTCCAACTGCTCAGCTTTTCAAAAGGCAGTGGAGAAGAGAGAGAGGCTGGCCCAAAAAGAAACAATGAAGCATCATGAGAATATTGTAGAAAGTATAAGGAAAATGGGAACAATTTAGAAAAGAAAATGCAGAACTTGGAAAAGCAAACAACTCTTTCATTAAGGACATAAATTCACTTAAGAGGTTTGTTACGGAAAAAAATAAAATAGATTGTGTTTCAATGTATTTGTTGTGTTTATTTGCATGGCAAGTTTCCTGACATTAGCTTTATTGAAAGAGCTATTTGTTCTGAAGAAAAGCAGCAGGAGTATCTCAGATTAGTACTGAAAAAGCAAGGATACCATAAGGAAGAGTTTGGACTATAATAGGAGCTTCACTTGAATGCTGAGTTATAAAATCTGGTCAGGTAGTGGTGTGCAAGATGTTCTATAGGCAGAAAGAGGCAACGGCTAAGAGAGTAGAATAATTTCCATGGAAAGGAGCCTTGGTTGTTAGTCTAGGATACAAGTAACAGACAGAGAGATGGAAGGAAAAACAATATAGGAACATCTCTAGCCAAATATTTCAGGTATTACCATCTTATCCCTCAAAAGTACTTATCTAGGCCAGGCGCGGTGGCTCACGCCTGTAATCCCAGCACATTGAAAGGCTGAGAGCGGCAGATCACCTGAGGTCATCAGTTCAAGACCAGCCTGGCCAACTGGTGAAACCCCGTCTCTACTAGAAATAAAAATAAAAAATTAGCCGGGCGTGTTGGTGGGTGCCTGTAATCTCAGCCAATTGGGAGGCTAAGGCAGGAGAATTGCTTGAACCGAGGTGGCGGAGGTTGCAGCGAGCCGAGATCGTGCCAGGGCACTCCAGCCTGGGGAACAGGGCAAGAGTCCATCTCACAAGCAAACAAACAAACAAACAAACGAAAAACCAACTTATCTAATGCGGTCCCATCTTCTCCAACCCAGAGAGTGTGAGGCGTGGATTCCTTATTTGGTCCTAAGCATTTGGCTGCATGGCTGAGACAGCTCTTCCTCTCAGTTGTGCTCTATGTCCTTGTTTCTCTGCTGTGATATCAATTGTGGGTGTCAGTTTGAGTGCGGACTTTCATGATTGACACGGGTGGCACTTTGTGGTATGTGTGACGGCAGATCCTCATCAGGACACAGATTCAGAGTTAGTTTCTCAGAAAATGAAGATCTCAGAGGGAAGAGCTGTGCCTAAACTAGCCCCGTAAAATTTGAGAATCAGTCAATTACTCTGCAGAAAAAGAAACACGCCTAAAATTTCACATGGAATTGTCTTCATTGACAAGTGTCTTGCCATATTTTAGTTTAGAAACTGTACATATGAGTAGGTGACTATGAAGTAATGGCAACAGTAACAACAAGTTGATAGTATTCCTAAATATAGAAAACAGCATTTTGCCTTTGTGGAAATAGGAGAGAGGACATTTGCACAGAGGAGCGCCAGGCACCATCGGATGAGGGATGGGTACCAAGACTGGAAATGGTTACAAGGAAATATATAAATAGCAATAGATGATAACCACTTTTAATTTAATTTATTTACCAATCCCCCAATTTAGTGAGGTGTACTTTGTATGTAAGATCTAGTTTTGTGATTCTTATTGTTGAAATCAAAGAAAGTAAATGGTTTTGTATCTGAATTGATGAAAACTCCAGCAGTTGCAGCTAACTTGAGATTGGTGAGAATATCCAGAACCTGAACTGATTCTGTTAAAGCAGGAGGTCATATTGGAGAGGTCACTATAGACTCTGTATACAATCTGGATGGATGTTTTGGGGTCAAATTTTGTATTTCTCAAAAAGCAAAGTGGCCTCAATTAACATCAGAGGATCTGAACATATCTGCTCTGTTTTTGTCCTGTGTGAGATGTTGTGAAGTGGAACAAGGAAGAAAGAAAGAGCACAGCCATGAGCTACCATGGTAAGTAGCGGCCCTGAAACCAGAGTTCTCCAGCACAGGGCTGGTCCTCAACAATGAAATACTAGCTGATACTGGGTGTCTAATTTGCAAGAAGAAGACCAACATACAAAGAAAGAGCCTTTTTACTAAGCATTAGGGGTTATGACAGAAATAAAATTTTTTCTAGAAATGATGAGACAGAAGCTAACCACCAAAATTACTCATGCAGGGAATATTGCCATAATAACCAACGAATGCATGTTTTACATGTTGGGAAGAGTTTTCTTAGGACTTCTTAATTTTCTTAGGACTAGCACCAGAAAAAAGCAAAAACATCTGGAAAAGACTGAATAAAAATTCCTTTCAAGGCCAGACATAGTGCCTTATGCCTTTAATCCCAGCACTTTGGGAGGCTGAGGTAGGAGGAAGGCTTGAATCCAGGAGTTCAAGATGAGCCTGGACAACACTGAGATACTCCATTTCTATAAAAATGTTTTTTTAAAAAATTAGCCAGGCATGGTGGCACACATCTTTGGTTCCAGCTACTTAGGAGGCTGAGGCGGGAGGATCACTTGAGCCCAGGAGTTTGATGCTGCAGTGAACCATGATTGTTCCACTGCATTCCATTCTGGGCAACAGAGCTAGAGCTTTTCTCAACACCAACTAACAAACAAAAAAAGGTATTTTATTTCACTACAATATTTTATTTGTATATATTTACATGTGCACATATATGTGTGTGTGTTGATGTATTTTAGAGTAGAAGACAAACTTTAAGTCACTAGATGGATGACAGTTTGAGCTTACATTCCCAAACTGTAGCATGTGTTAGAATTATCCCCAGGGCTTGCTTTCTAGATATTTCTAAACCCCATCATATAAAGCTTATTGTAACTACAGACATCTAAATAATTATTTATGTTAGCTCTATAAGAGATGCATATCTGAGAGTATATTCTTATAGAAGCAAAGATTTCATTTTCAGTAGAAGCTTATGCTCATTAACAAATGGCCATAAAATGTTTTTTTAAAAGATGATAATTTTAAAAATAATATCAGCAAGCTTTTACCATTAAAATCTCCAAGGGGTTTAGTCCTTTTGATATTTTTCTGTACATGTTTTTGTCTAAATCCACCTTTGTCTATACTTTTTTAGAAATTTTTCTAAAATAAGTCATATTTATTTATTGTATTTTAAAGCTCAAAATGTATTTAAACATTTTATTAATTTAGGTTCTTTTAAGTAATATCTTATTATTTGATATGTTCAGTTAATTACTAGTTGGTAACTTTAGATATAAAGTTTTTAAATGGCAAAAGTCTATTTTATAAATTATGAAGCCTGAGGTTGTCAAACCCTAATTTGATCAATGCACAATTTATACATGTATCAAAATATTATATTGTATGTCATACATATGTGCAATTTTTATATATTGATTAAAAATAAAAATTTAAAAATTATTCAAATAAGTTGTCATTTAAATAAAGGTTTTTTTGATTAGTTTGAATTTAGTAAAAATGCTTTAAATAAAATCACCTGAATATTTTTTATGCACAGTACCTATTTCATTTCCCTGAGTTTAAAATTAAATCAGCCATAGGTGCCAGACATTGAGGCTCTACTTGTCTTTTTCCAAAACCATCCATCATGGTCATTAGCATTTTGATCTTCAAATCTAAAGACTGGTAGAAATTGATCAGTACTGAAGGGATTTACCTGTCGATGAGCCAGGTGAGATGGTAGCAGATCCTAGATTTCAGTGAAGAAAGGGCAGAAATTATCAAAGAATGGAATGATGTATTCAAATATCATATAAAAATACTATCAGACGTGGGAGCAGAAATGAAAGTAGACTTGGGGCCCCAGAAAATCAAACATGAATTTGCCACGTGGGTGTTGTTTAATAATCAATGACAAAAGCCAGGCATGGTGGCTCACACCTGTGATTCCAGCATTTTGGGAGGCCAAGGCGGGCGGATCACCAGAGGTCAGGAGTCCCAGACCAGCCTGGCCAACATGGTGAAACCGTGTCTCTACTAAAACTACAAAATCAGCCGGGCCTGGTGGCACATGCCTGTAATCTGAACAACTCGGGAGGCTGAGACAGGAGAATCCCTTGAACCTGGGAGGCAGAGGTTGCGGTGAGCCGAGATCAGGCCATTGCACTCCAGCCTGGATGACAGAGGGTGACTCCCTCTCAAAATAAATAAATAAATAAATAAATGACAAGATAAACCAGCACTAACCACAACTAGAGGGTGTTTGTAGAGGGCTATTTACAGAGATTAGAAATTGAGCTGATGTAAACAATGGTGGAAGGGTAAATCCTTTCATTGGTCCTCTGTACTGCAGAAACCTAATAAGGGAGGGGCTTTAAGGATCCTATAATACATTGGCCTCCAAAAAGCAAGGCTTATTATTTATAGAGGCATTTGGAATTTGCTAGACTGTGGAAATCTCAGAGAATAACATCTGTTATCCAGAAAGCCCAGAGGACACCCAACTCCTGAGCCAAATGCATGAATTTTCCTGCAAGCACTGTTCAGACCAGTTATAGAATATTCAGGTGAGTATTTCCTTTAATTTTTTTCTTTGGGTATAAAAATTGTGAACTTCTGGACGGAAAGTCCTGGATATTTTACAGTTTTATCTGTAACATGACATCTAGAATTTAATTGGAAACATTTATTGTAGAATATGAAAAGTTCTATGTTGTCCGTAACTTCAGGTTGCATGCAGCCTTGGTCGTCTGCAAAGTTTCCAAAATGCTCAAAGGCACTTTTTTATTTTCCTAATATTCCACTGAAGTTTTTATTTATGTAATGGTATTTTTAATTTACAAAATCTGTTTTGTTGTTTGAATGTTCTTTTCAAAGCCTCTTTTTATTTTTTGATATTTTTACTCTATAAAATAGAAAACATGTGACTTTGTGAAGGTTATACATTTTTATTTATTAATTTATTTTTATTTTTTACTTTTTATGTCACAAAAATTAAAAAATAATAATAAAAATTAAAAATTAAGAATTCATACAGCTTCACAAAGTCACAGGAGTCCATACATTATACTTAAGATCAAAACTTACCCTCAAATGGTTCAAGGATAAAAGGATGTCTTAAACTTCTAAGTATTTTACAAGTGATGATGATAAAAAATAAAAAGTAAACAAATAAAAGATGTATTCTAACACAGAAAAGAGGGCAATCACATACAATTGACAAGGTTAATTTTTTTGAGACAGGGTCTCACTCTGTTGCCTAGTCTGAAGTGCACTGATACAATCAAGGCTCACTGAAGTCTTGCCCTCCTGTGCCCAAGCCATCCTCTCACCTCAGCCTCCAGAGTGGCTGGGACTACAGGCACTACAAGTGTGGGTCTGGCTAAATTTTTGTTTTTCTAGAGATGGGGTCTGTCTATGTTGCCCAGGCTGGTCTCAAACTCCTGAGCTCAAGCAATCTTCCTGCTTCAGCCTCCCAAAGTGTTGAAATTACAGGCGTGAGCCACCGTGCCGGGCCCTGTATAAATTCTTAGTTTTTCCCAGCTTCTTTCTTTCTTTTTTTAAGAGACAGGGGTTTCTCACTTGTTGCCCAGGCTTATCTTGAACTCCTGAGTTCAAGTGATCCTCCCATCTTAGGCTCCTAAAGTGCTGGGATTACAGGCATGAGCCTCCACACCTGGTCGCAGTTTCATCATGGAAGTAATAGAACAGCAAGCATAAAATGACCTCATAGAGATTCAAGGAGAAAAATAAGATATTAATAATAAGTGTAAAACATTCGCGTATTACTTTGCTGGGGCTGCTGTAATAAACTATCACAGATGAAACAATAATTTGCTCTCTCACATACTGAAAACCTAAAATTTAAAATCAACATGTTGACAGAGTTGGTTCCCATTGGGGATTCTGAGTAGAAATCCAGCCCCTCCCTGTCTGCTGGTTTCTGGTGGCTGATGGGAACATTTAGCTTTCATTGGCTTGTGGCAGCATAGCTCCAGTGAGCTCTGTCTCCGCCTCTGTCTCCACATGGCTGTCGATGTGTCTCAGATCTTCCTTTGATTTCTTCTATAATGATACGAGTCATTGGACTTAGGTCCCACCCTAAACCCAGACTAATCTCATTAGGAGATTACCAAGGTAATTACATCTGCAAAGATCCTAGTTTCAAAAGGTCATATTCACAGGTTTCAGGGGTTAGGACTTAGACACATATTTTGGGGGGCCACGCTCTTTAACTGGCAATTTGAAAAAATGTCTGGCTCATAAAAGAGCCACATAACAACAAAAACACAACTGTATTTTTATTTTCGCTGCTTTATACGCATCATCCTAACATTTACAATTGGGAAGACGGTACTTCTTTTCCTAAATTCAGATTCTGAGTATTCCACATCTCTTTTCCCACATCAAGTCTGTGTGACTTCCCCTTTTTCTGAGTTAGAATACATCTTATATTTATTTATGTATTTATTTTTTGTAATCATCACTTACAATATATTTGGAAGTTTGACATCTTTTTATCCCTGAACCATTTCAGAGTATGTTTTGATCTTAAACACAAAGTATGGAATCAAATATTTTTTAATTTTTTTATTTTCCTTTGTGAATGTTACTTTTTTCTTAATTACTCTCCTGTTATATTATTAAGTTTTTTTTTTTTTTAAGGACACTAATGAACTGACTTTTTTTCAGATTTTTGAGGTTAAAAATTCAATAACTTTCAAGTTTACCCTCTTCTAAGTTTTTCACAGTTTATTTTAATGCTTTATTATAAATTTTAATTTTTTATTTACATTTTCATTTATTATGAACAATTTTCCAAAAGTCTTTTTCACATAATAAATTTGATATATGAGCTATTCTTTATTTTATCTTCTACCTCAAATATGGACTTGAATTATTATCCAGTATTTTAAAACATTTTAATCTCTATATTAAGGAATTTGTGTTTTGAGGCATGTGATATTATAACATTCTTCACACTTCTAGTGAATTTTTAACGTCATTCAAAGGCTACATCCTTCTGTACTCTACTGAGAATTAAAAATAGTTCTCAAAAATATTCTCACATATTCTGAAACTCATTCTCAGAATTTCAACCTCCACTGACATCTTAACTCTGTTCTCTTTCCCTTCTAATGCATATTTTCCCCCGAAGGCCCCATGTTACACTCCTTATGCACCCTCTATTTAAGATCTGGTTTAATTTAATGTTGTATGTGTTTGTACACAATTTTACTGAAGTTAGGCTTTGTCTTAGAATAGAAGATTATCCTAAAAAGACAAGTGAAAGAGTTATGAGAATTTGGAGAATTAGTTGGGAAATCATGTCCCAGAGGAATTACTTTAGGCAAAACAAAATTGGTAAAAATAAATAAATAAATAAAATAAGCAGTAGTTATCGGATCTGCCATGTTTTCAAGTTCTATAATGGAAAATGCCAGGTATTTTGGAGGCACTTTCCGGAGGAAGCCAAACTTTCACTGAGGCTTAAAGATGACGAACAGTTAACCAACTGAAATTGAAATGTTTTATAATTGTCATTAAATCCTTGATATTTAAAAGGAGAAGCGGTATGGTTCGCTAGAAAGCATTCATTCCCATGCATGGGTCCTGGAGAATCTTTAATTCAGTCTTTTATCACAGGTTCACATTCCCTCATAAAAAGGTAACAGTTGGATGCATGTCTGGAGGAGCTCTTGGGCTTGTCCTGTTGCATCTTTAACTTCTCATCTGCACCTTTAGCTATGGCTATTTGGGCTGTGCTTAGAAAATGGCGATACTCAGGGCACTGTAGAATGAACAGTCTTTCCGGTTTAGGCATTTCTCCTTCCACTTTAGCTCTTGACTCTGTCTTCAGGGCATTTCTGTTCTATTAAGCTTCTTAAGTGATGAGTGGTCTGGTGTTTGCCTTATGCAACTCAATTTAAGATCGGTTCATGCGAGATCTGGCAGAAAGAAGGCTGGGGTGGGGTGCGGAGATGTTGAATATTGCGCATGTAGCATATGAAAGGCAAATATGGATTTTCATTCAGAAATGGGCTATATTTTATTTATATCCTTAAGAGTAAATTAATTATACAAGGGATATATGGCGAATAGGGTGTAATTTTTTTCATTAATCCCAATGAAGCAGAGTAACTTTCCTTTCTTTCTCCTCAGAAATACAGAATCACACATACTGCAGGACTTCCAGAAAGAAATCATCCACTGACTCTTAAAAGTAAGGAACTCTGTGTTCTTACTCTGGTGTTTGCATAACTGGGATCTTATAAGTAAGCCAAAGACATCAAAATGGCTTTGCCTAGAAGCCAAGGCCATTGGTCCAACGCAGACATCTTGAGGTTACTGGAATGCATGGAGAATAATCTCCCATCTGATGACAACGGCACGTTCAGCTCAACTCAGTCACACATGGACTGGGGAAAAGTAGCTTTTAAAAACTTTTCTGGTGAAATGTGCAGACTCAAATGGTTAGAGATTTCTTGCAGCTTGAGAAAATTCAGCACTTTGAAAAAATTAGTCCTGGAAGCTAAGAAATGTGTTAAAAATACAAACAAAAGCCAAAAAGGCAGGAACCATCCAGACTTTCCAAAGAGGCCCCTTACTGCTTATATCCGCTTCTTCAAGGAGAATTGGCCCCAGTACTCCCAAATGTACCCTGGGATGAGAAGCCAGGAACTGACCAAAATCCTGTCAAAGAAATACAAGGAGCTCCCAGAGCAGATGAAACAGAAATATATTCAGGATTTCCAGAAGGAAAAGCAAGAATTTGAGGAAAAACTTGTTCGATTCAGGGAAGAGCACCCTGATTTAGACCAGAAGGGCAAGAAATCTGATATCTCCAAGAGGATTCAAACCAAAGTGCAAAAGAAAGTTCAGAAAAATATTGAAGAAGTGACGTCTCTTCCAAAAACGGATCAATTTTTCAAGAAGGTAAAATTTCATGGAGAGCCTCAGAAACCCCCCATGAATGGATACCACAAGTTTCACCAAGATTCCTGGTCAAGTAAGGAGCTGCAACATTTGTCCCTGAGGGAGCGCATGGTAGAGATTGGCAGACGCTGGCAGCGCATCCCGCAGAGCCAGAAGGATCATTACAAGAGCCAGGCTGAGTTGCTGCAGAAGGAATACAAAGTGGAATTGGATCTCTGGCTCAAGACTTTGTCACCTGAAGATTATGCTGCGTACAAAGAATCGACCTATGCTAAGGGTAAGAATATGGCGATGATGGGAGGCCCGGCCCCCAGCTTGAAACAAACAGATCCGCAGTCCTCATCAGCAAAGGGTCTGCAAGAAGGGTTTGGGGAGGGGCAGGGGCTCCAGGCTGCAGGAACAGAGGCATCACAGACTATTTGGGTAAACTGTCAGGTCTCCATGGAACCAGAAGAGAACAGGAAGAAAGATGGCGAAGAGGAAGAAAGCAGTAACTCTTTAGACTGCAGCAGTGGGGAAGACATGGAAGTTGATGTCTGAGGGCAGTGACTCTAGTGCAGCTTCCTCAGAGGACTTCTAACTGGGACTCCACCTGACTCAGACTCTGCCTGACTCAGACTCCAGGGTCAGGCAGAGTTTCTCCGCAAAAGCCCATTCATGCCATCCGTGTCAAGGAAAAGGGACTGTCCTTCTGCCTCTTTTTACTTCTTTGCTTTTTTTTTTTCTCTTTTCTTCCTTCCCCGCTCTCCTCCTCTACACAAAGTAGGACAGGTTGGAAAGAAGCAACTTGGTGCAGCACCCTCTTACATCAGGATTACAAACCTGGGAGGGACTCTTTGCGGAGAATAAATATAAGTTTGAGCCAATACCAACCTTATCCTTAAAAAACAGACAAATATCATGCCTTTCCCAGTGAATTTTGTGCAATTAAAGCTTCTGGAATGAAGCGATGATTAGATGTAGGATACACACTGTACTAGACTGAATATTTCTGAAGCAAGAAGCTTTGCTTTACTCATTTTTGTTCTGCTAAAGGCAGTAAGAAGACACCCATGAGCCTGGGACCCCGACCTTCCCTGTGGAAATGTTTTTCAGGACTCCTGCACTTAGTCTAGGCTTGGGGATATTTGATGAAAGGTGGGGTAGGTGTCTTAACAAAATTGTTGTACTCTTGATATCTCACTCCTCCACTCCCTGAAGTAGGGAGTTGGTCACTCGCATGCCTGGGAGTAGGCAGCAATATTTCCGTATATATGTCTGACTCTTAGCTTTCATTGAGACTTTTCTTTCTCATTTCCAAAAAAATGAAAATACAAAATAAAAACTTACCTATTTCATTGGAATGAGCTCCTCCACAGAATCCCTTATGACATCGGGTGCAGCATCTCTAAGTGCCATCTGCATTTATTCTTGAAGCTCCAAATATTTTCTGCTGATTCAGGTGCAAGTGAATCTCACCTTAAGCACTCAGGATTGATAGAAAGATGCACAGAAAGACACATATAGATAAATACACTATTCTGTTTCACTATCTGCTCTATGAATTCATGCACCAATATAACATTGTTTTAATTTTTTTTGGTTTACTAATAT
The DNA here is from genome assembly GCF_000001405.40 of Homo sapiens. Classification (NCBI taxonomy): domain Eukaryota; kingdom Metazoa; phylum Chordata; class Mammalia; order Primates; family Hominidae; genus Homo; species Homo sapiens. The sequence goes on from NW_025791760.1 coordinate 389,745, forward strand.
GTTTGAAAATCAACCTGAGGTTAGTGCCTTCTCAGTATACCTTCATTCTCTTAAACATTTCTGGCTATTTTCATATTTTGTTCTCATGAATATAAGCATCACAGAAGTAGATGTATACTTTTTGTATGAAAACCACTGACTATCATGTGTTTATTTTGTCCCTAGATATCTTAATAAATTTTTATTTAAAAGTTTTTTCTAGGTAAATAAGTTTCAGAAAATAATGAAAATATTTACCATTTTATACCTCTAAATGTATCAGATTAAAGTATCCAGGAGAATGTTAAGCAATAATAAAGTAATATGTTCTTGGCTTGCTTCTGACTTTCAATCTAATGCTTACAGAATTTAAAATCATGAAAATTATGCTGATGTGTACATTTGAAATAAATTATAAAAAAAGAAAATTGCTATTTACTGTTATTATTATTTGGTTAACTTTATAATGTATATCGATTTTTAAAAATTTATTTTGTTAAATTTATCATATATTTATGTAATTTTTCCTTAGTGTATTAGTCATCATCCTTCAGAGAAACAGTAGCACCAACATAGAGAGAGAAACAGAGTGACAGAGGGAGAGATAGAATAATACAGAGAGGAGACAGAGAGGGACAGATACGGTGTCTTGTCGCCCAGGCTGCAGTGCAGTGGTGCGATCTGGGCTCACTGCAACATCCGCCTCCTAGATTCAAAAGATGCTCCTGCCTCATCCTCCTAAGTAGCTGGAATTACGGACACCCGCCACCACGCCTGACTAATTTTTGTATTTTTAGTAAAGACAGGGCTTCGCCATGTTGGCCAGGCTGGTCTCGAACTCCTGACCTCAAGTGATCCGCCCACCCAGAAAGACCAATTTTATGATGAAGAATTGGCTCACAAAATTGTGGAGGCAAAAAATACCATGATCTGCAATCTGCAAGCTGGTCAGTTAGGAAAGCCAGAGGTGTCATTCAATCTGAGTCTGAAGGCCTGGGGACCAGGGAAGCCAATGGTGTAAACCCCAGGTCAAGGGTAAGAGAAGAGAAGATGAGATGTACTAGCTTAAGAAGTGAGGCAGGAACAAAAGGGTCAAACTCCTCTATCATCTGCCCTTTGTTCTATTCAGGAGCTACTGGGGAGGGAAACCTACTTTACAGAGACCAATTCAAGCTGACACATAAAATTTACTATCACACTTTCATTTTCTTACAGATTCTGGGGATTTAGGCATTTTCACCATTTTTTCATGAATTCTAGATGGCTGATGGGTTGAATTTATTTAGAAAATGTATTTGCATATTATGCCCCTTGTTTCGCTTCTTAACATCAAGTTTGCAAAATTAACTTTAAAGATCTGATTCTTTTTACTTCCAATTTAGAAGATACCATAATTCACATTTGCCACTAAGTGGTAGTAAGGCCTATAGCTCAGGCTAGATGGTGAGATGTACAAATGCAGTTGGGGCTTTGCTTGTGATTTTAAATACAGCGTTTTAAAATTCATTCAGCATCTACTCTTTTTTAAGTCTTGCCCTCCTTATGTGTGACACACAGATGAAAGGTACAATTCTTGACTTCGTGACACTCAGAGTTAAAGATGGTATTATTTGGTTTAAAAAGCAGAAGTACTGACAAATAGAAACTGAACTTCTGAGTTTGCTATTATAATAAAATATCATTGGTTAAAATAATGATCTCTTCGCTTTTGTTACCTCATCTATACATTCATGAAGTGGGAATAAAATTACAGTGAGATTAGGCCAGGCATGGTGGCTCATGCCTATAATCCTAGCACTTTGGGAGGCTGAGTGTGGCAGATCACTTGAGGTCAGGAGTTCGAGACCAGCCTGGCCAACATGGTGAATCCTCCTCTCTACTAAAAATACAAAAATTACCGGGGTGCAGTGACACTTGCCTGTAATCTCAGCTACTCAAGAGGCTGAGGCAAGAGAATTGCTTGAACCTTGGAGGCAGAGGGTGCAATAAGCCCAGATCATGCCACTGCGGGCCACTCTGGGTGACAGAGCGAGACTCCATCTCAAAACAAAACCAAAAAAAAAAAACCAAAAAAATTACAGTGAGATTACATATAGGTAAAGGTTACACTTAATGCTTATAAAGTACCTATCTCACAGTAGATTTACAGAAAATGTTAGGTTGATTTTCACATTTTTTTTCCTTTATTCCTTTCATCATCCATATTTCTCCTTTATTTAATTCCAACAAAACCTTTAAGTAATGCATATTACATAACAAGATATATTACATTCAATAAATAAAAATTCAATGAACGATATTTGTCTGCAATGCATAAAGACCTGCACCCTTGCTAGAATTTGATCCCAACTTTGACCTAAGTACCAGAAATTTTAAAAAATAGTGTTGATTCTATGGGTGTGTGTATATGTATGTGTGTGTATATATATGTATGTGTATATGTATAGGTATACACACTATATATATATTTGTACATAATAATGGGAGATCCTTGAATGCAATGCAATTGATAGAAAGTACAATACAATTTTTTAAATGTAAAAATGTTTCTGCAAGGCAATTAAATCAAAATTTATCCTTGATAAAACAAGTATTAATTCAAAAAAGAAGTATTGGAAGTGGAAGTGACGTCCAGACAGAGGAAACAGCATACCGAAACACTCGAAGAGAAGAAGGCCGTGATGCCTGTGGAGAAGCTACTTCTACAATTCTTTTGTTCTGGTCTTCTGTTACACACAGCTCATGGAACCTGCTAAACACATTGAGATCCAGTTTAGAGGCATTCCTTGTTTGCACATTTTAAAAATTTGCACCTTAAAATTCTGAAAAGTTAGAGAGGTGCAGTATACTTACAGACCATTTCCAAACCTCTAAAGAAAAACAGTAAAATCTAGAATAACAAAATCAAAATTCATGAACAATATCTACAACAACACTGAGTGACAATGTACCCTACAAAAATCCCAAATATGAATAGTCACAGACAAATCAGGTGCAACAGCAATATCCATGAGGAATCAGAATCCTTTCAGGATGAAGCAGAGAGGGTGAACAGAACACATGTAGATTTGAGAACGCCCCAAGTCAGCAACGAGGATTCATTAGAAAGTGTGCAAGGTAATTAAAAAAGAGCTGCTGAAACTGAGTAGGGTGGGAGTTTGCACACATCAATAAGCAAGAGTGCAGGATAAGATAAAAAGCGGCTGGGACCATATGGCTTCTACAGCTCTTAAAATAACCAGCCCAAATTCTCTTCCAGGATCAAATTCCATACTGAGAAGAATATACTGGGAGTAAACTACATATTAAACAAGGCTGACACAATAGGATCAAAAAAAGCGAAGGCCCCCATAAAGTAAGTGGAGACAGAAGCAGAACCAGGACAGAGCAAAAAGTCGACACTCTTATTATTGAATACCTTATGGAATCAACAGGAGAGCTCTAGAGTCAGGATGCTAGGAAAGCTATCTTGACCGATCTTTACCTTATAAAAGTTCAAGTTTCGTTCCATACAAATAGCATCAATAGGACATGCTGTTGTTGTTATTGTTCTTTGTTTCTTATTTAAGGAGAGGGCAGAGGGAAGAAAATGCCTTTCCAAAAATAGTATGCCTTGATATGACTGTTCATGAAGTAACAACTAGCGTTCTTAAAAGAACCTTAGTGCCAGGGATACAGTGAGCTTATACTCTTTGGCTGCAACCTTGACAGAAGTGTCTCTGGGCAGTCCTCTTGGTTTCCAGCCCAGCAGAAATCTCCGCCCCACCTCACTGGATCCAGCTCCATCACTGTGCCTGGCCACCTCCAGCTATTCCTGAAGGTCAATTTCTGCAGTATGTCCTGATCCTCTCCTCCTCCAAGCACTGCTCCTGGTCCCTGCAGTATCCCTCCAGGACCCTACCTAGCAGCCTTTTTGCCCATCCTTGCTCCAAAACACCTCATCCAGGAATGTATTATAAGCCTGGTGTGGTGGCTCACACTTGTAATCCCAGCACTTTTGGTGCCCCAGGCAGACAGATCACTTGAGGTAAGAAGTTCGAGATCAGCCTAGCCAACAAGGTGAAACCCCCTCTCTACTAAAAATACAAAGATTAGCAGAGTGTGGTGACGCATGCCTGTACTCCCAGCTACTTAGGAGGCGGAGGCATGCGAATAGCTTGAACCTGGGGGGCAAAATTTGAAGTGAGTGAGATAGCAGCACTGCACTCCAGCCTGAGCAACAGTGACGACGAGTCAGAAAGAAATACCATAGGTAGAGCTAGAGGTACATATCTATCTACATATCTATGTATCTATGTCTTTAGCTATATATAATATATATATGTATATTATACATATACATGAATATATGTGTTATATATTGTTTAATATGTAGTTTACTTCCAGTATCATATATAATACATTACATATATATATTGCATATACGAGAGAGAGATCTGAAATGTATAGAATCCCTAATAACAAGCAGCTACCACCCCCATCTTTCACAATGGCTAATTACCTGACTGTGTGGTTTACTCTCAGATATGGTACTGTGGACCATGAGGTGTCTCCAGCAAACTATCAGCAAATTCAAGTGCAAGTTTTTGGCTTTAGAAAATGTTTCAATTAAGTCAGCTACACTTGGGAAAGGAGGTTAGAAAAAGGCACCCAAAGGGTTGATCTTGACTATTCCTTATTAGTAGTGGGAAAATTCTGGAGATGAACGGATGTTTGGGGTGGCTGTCTTGCTCTGACAGGAGTAGGGATGGGGGATGGATTTCTCCTCTATTCCTCTTGTGTTAATAATGGCGGGAGATTTTGGTTACTGGGAATAGTATCTACATGAGCTGGATAAAGTGTGAGCACTAAAGGTCTTGGGAGGGTAAAGAGAGGGGCTGCAGGGAGTGCAGGGAGGAGGAACTAAGGCTTTTTCAGAGAGTGTGCAGAGAGAAAGCAGTCAGCTTCTCTGTCCATCATCCACAGCTCCAGGATGAAAGAAAACTCTGCTTCCTCCCTGCACATTCTTTGTATGTGTAAGTGAAAGTGGGTGGGTTAAATTAGTGATCTGAAATGATTATTTTCCAGAAAGACAATTGAACCGCTACCAAAATATGTAAAGGCAGCTGGGGCTTTGCGAGGCCACCCAACCCAACCTCCATATGGGGGAATGAAAGGGGAACCAGCTGTCCCCAGTTCTGGAGCTTTCAGGTTAATCAGGAAAGTGCCAAGGAGGCAGTGGAGGGGTGGGGTTAAATAAAACACCTTCTGTAATCCATGTATTAATGGGCCAGGCTAGGAAAGAAAAACTGGTAAACATGAGTTGATAGAAGAAAAATATGAGAGAAGGTTTTATTTTATTTTTAAAAATAATTTTCAGAAACCAAGTTTGTATGAGTTTTACAGAAGAAAGGACTAGAAATAATGGGAATCAAAATATGTGGGTTTAGCAAAGGAAGTTCGTGGTCAGATAAAGAATGTAGTTCAAAGGATATTGGTGGTGAGATGAAGAACATGGTTTGTGTAAACTGTTGGGTATGAAAGATTTCATTGAGTTGAAGAAAGATGGAAAGTTTCACAAATGAGTACAGCGAACATACTCATGTGGTCAGGAATATGCTTTGTTATGGACAAAGGAGATAGCACAAAAATCAAGTGAAGATATTGGGTCAATGTAGCTATTTAGTTTTATTTCGAAACAGTGGGAGTAAATAAAGTAGGTTTTAAAATTGAGAGAAAATAACAAAGAGAAGGCGAGAACAAGAAAGTGAGAGAGGAAATTAATATTGGAAGGCGATTGTCTGTTGAATAATGTCTCTGAGAATAGCATGGAAGTCAGCTTCTACGTGTAGGGCAAAGCCTTAGAAAAGAAGAAGCAAGTTGCACTAATGGGGTCAGGCTCTGGTTAGCAGGTAGTTTTTGAATTGCTAAAAGAAAAAATTTTGGAAACATCTTATGTCATTCTATGAAGTAATATTCGCTACTGTTTTTGAGAATAAAGAATCAGCGTACAGGTAAAATATTTGAGAATAAAGAAACTAAACGGATTTAGTAATGAGGTTTTTGTGTATTATAAGATAATTAATTATCAAATCATAAGCTACCATTTTTAAATCAAGTGTAGATACTTGAGGGCAAAGAGTTGAAGGCCAGATTTTGACTTCTGGTGCAAATACATATATACATACATACACAGAAAAGAAGGAAAGAAAAGGAAGAAACGAAAGAGAAACCAGTCTCTAATTTTTGGTTCATTCATTGCAACAAATTGCTAAATATCTTAAGATAAAACAAGAAATAAAAAGGCATGAATAAAAGTAGACTATGTGTTCCAATGATTTCATTATTACTTCAGGGTCATGTGAATCTACAGAGGAAGATGATTCATGCTGTGTATTGCAGAGTTTGTCATTTGCTTTATGAGGAAGAGGAATGTCACTTGGAGAGACTGGAATAGGAAAGCAAAGAGAAGTAAAGACAGTAAAGGCAGAATGAAATGAAAGGAGAAAGCCGTAGGAGGAATGTATAAGAAACTGAAGGAAATGTACCATAAACCAGACCTGGAGCTGCTCCAGATTAGGACTGAGAACAAGAGAGTCCACTGGGAAAAATGACCTCATTCTCTTTGCCTTCTGTGATGTGTTTGGAATGATGCTTTCATGATGCTTGAAAGTGAATTGCTTGTCTAGTAACAAAAGAGACAAAGTCAGTTTTTCTTGATCCAGGAGCAAAACACAAACAAACAAAAACAGTAGAAAACACCCCAGAAAAAAATTTCCTTTCAAAATTCATTCAATTGCTGAAAAACTGCAGTAAAAAAGTTTATTTGAAGCTTTTTGAATTTGTATTTAAATATATTCAGATATTTAGAAATTTGGGAATCCATGCAATATATTTCCTCGATGGCCATTTCCTGGATACCAATTGCTATAAACTTTGGGCTCACCCATCCTCAGGAATCTAATAAATTAAGCCTTCACTATGAATTTTGTGATGAATGCTAAGACTTTCTCTATTCTTTCTTACCTAATTTTAGAAATGTGTTAGAAAGGTAAATTTCTTCCTATATTCAAGTTTTGAGAACTGTAACAGTGATCAGTCTCATACTGAAGTGGGAACATAGTTTCTTATGAAAATGTACCCTCCTTCATAGTATATTTAGTCTTCCCCTTCTTAAAGGGTAGAAAGATTTTGTTTGTTTGTTTGTTAGGCAGGGCTATTATTTTCAAGGAACTATAGAGAAATCACGTAGAGAAAATTACCATTTCCAATTTTAATTGTCAAAGTGTATAAAGAAATTGACATAACAGCCCCAAATTACGCCAGGACTTATGGGGGAAGGGTAAGTATTTCTGACAGTGTATGGTGAAAGCAGGGTGTAAAGAAGCAAAAGAAAAGACCCTCAAGGATTTGGGGCTTTTGTAGGTAGCAGATGGTGGATTCCAACTTCAAATGGAAAGGCTGTAGGGTGCCCTTAGGGAAGCTGGGTCTGAGGAAGCAGGATGCCTGCCTCAGGTAAGCTTGTCAAGCCCCAGCTTGTGGTTACTGACACTCAGTATTACAGTGGTGTATAACAATACACAAAATAGTTTGTATAATCATCCACGATATTAAAATCATTAGAGGAATATTTATAACAACAGCCACAAAGTCAACTGGCAACTAATTTCACTGGATTTATCCCTTTCTCAAGAGATACTCTGGCAGAGAATTCTCACAAAGAAATCTTTCAAAAGCATATGTGGATTTTCTTTTACTTTATTATACCTATGCATGCTTCAGTGAAAAATCCGTAAATCGGAGACAAAGTGGTTATTTAAAATAAGAGTTATTATTTACATTATTTTTCTGAGAATAAGAGCAAGCTGCTTTTGCTACTCACTTCGAATTATTAAAAATTCTACAAATTTAAATGTTCTAGGGCATGTGAGCTTAGCAATAATTTCTGTTCTTTATAGATTCCAAAAAATATTGTAATTTTTCCCCATTTTTCTGGTTCAGGATTTGCTTGTTATGAATATGGAGTAACCCTTGAACATCAGTAAACTTCACGAGTATTCCTGCTGTCCTGACCCATATTTCCAGTGACAACCTGACATATGTAGACACTATGCAAAGCCCACCTCCATTAGAAGTTTATAACACTGTGTTTTCATGTGACTGTTTTCTTATTCCTGCAGCACATATTTCCCGGGATAATAAAATAACCACTTCTTGCATCCCCCTCGTTTGAAGTTCTGAGACAGCTACTCTTTGGTTCTGATGATCTCAGCATTGCCCCAGCTCCAACAAAATCTGTTTTCTTGATGGCAAGCCCTGCCATTCACTTTTGAAGATATTACTGAGAGGTGGATGTTGGGCAGTGTTGGAACTGGGCTGTTGGATTTTGCAACGATTCTTGGACAATAAGAAATGACATGCTGGTTAACTCCAAGAATTTTTTTCTACATTTCGTGTCAAGAAGGCTACTGGTGTCATCTCAAGACCTCTTCCTCACTATTACCTCAGTATACAGAAAGGCCTCTAGGACAGATAGGGATGTTTCTAGATTATGAATCTGGTATGGTAAGCTTTGTTAATGTGGCCAACAGGTTTCTCATTTGTAGCCTCTCAGGTTCTTTCCCTTACACTCTTAGACGTTTGCACTCACAGAATCAGGGATAGGTCAGTAACATGACTAAAGGTATCAGAAACACCATCTTCTGAAAATGCTAACCTACTGACTACTTGATTTTCTTTATCTGTTTCTATAAAATTTGTACCATTTTTAAATTGCGGAGGTATACATTTGTTTTGATTTTCATTAAACTACTCTCTCTTAGAATACTGTGCATGTCTTTTCTTTTATGCTGTATCTTTTTTTTCCCCTAGATTTCCAAGCCAGCCCAGGTAAATGAATACCTGCGTGTGTTTATCCAAACTGATGGGTTAATGCAAGAGCACGGGGTTCTTCCCCTTGAACCGGAATTTCCTTTTCTCTGTTCCACATCTGCTAAGTCACATTTCATCAAGTGTAAGTTCCAATATTTCTTCAGGGAATTCTTTCTTTAGCTCCTGGGCTAGATTAGGCTATTTGTTTTAAAGACTCAGAAAACCTTATACTTTTCTTTGTAAAACTCACAATGTAATAGTAGGCTTATTTTCTGCTTTTCAAATTACAAGAAAAGGATTGTGTTTGTACTACATACAGTTATATTCCAAGAAAGTAGACAATGGTTAAGATATAACTGATATTCAATAATTGTCTGTTTGAATAAAAGAATAAATGCACAAACTAATTGATGAAAACATATGATACAACTATTTAAAAGGCTACCAAATTTACCCCTGTATTACTATTGATTTTGGCTACTGAATGTAACCAAAATCAACAGGGATACTGAGAAATATTATTTAATGAAGATATAAATTGGATGCTTATCAAATTGATAGGCTCAGTCAATTTTCTTTAGCTCAGGAACAAACTATTGATGGACACAGATCTTAACAGAATGACAATGATACAGATAAAAGACTGAAAACCTGTTAGGTTTTAGTAATTTCACCGATGGCATCCTACAGACAGTTACCTGGGAACATGTCATTACCAGAATAGAAAGTAAGACTCACTTTTTGCTTCAGAAAATACAGAATACTCAGAAGCCTCATTACACTTTAATAAAATTCCAAATTTATTAAGGTCTTTGAAATTTTTAAGACACATGTGCAGTAAAATATCCTTATTATCAGAAATATGTATATTTTGGTCATGTTAACTTGGTATGAAGCCTTTCCTTAAGTATCGACTGGAAATTGATTCCAGGACTCCCCACAGATACCAAAATCTTGGATGCTAATAATCCTCAGATGTCCTTACATAAGATGGTGAAGTATTTGCATGTAGCCTAAGCACATCCTCCAATGTACTTTAATTATCTCTAGATTACTTAAAATACTTAATGCAGTGTAAATGCTATGTAAGTAGTTGTTACACTATATGACTTAGGGAATAATGACAAGCAAAAAAAAGTCTGCACATGTTCAGTGAAAACGTAATCATTCAATTCTTTTCCTGAAATTTTTAAATCCATGATGAGTTGAATCCATGGATGCAGAACCCTATCATATGGAGGGCCAACTGTATATCAAATATCATATTTAATGGTGTATTTTCTAGTATTTAATTTAATTACTGACAATATGGCACACAACAAACATATCAAAAGTTTCTGATATGTGTTTTTTGAATTTATTTAAAGCAAGAAAATAATGCCTCCTTTAATGAGGATTGCTGAGGACAAAGTCTAAAAAAGGCTGACTCCATCTATAAGGAGTAACTCTGATCTACAAGTTTAATGACAGAGAGGATCTCTGAGTTGTTAGTCCACTGAATGTGGGACATAATTGTCAACTTCCTGATCTGTGAAAACAGTCTCCAAGCCACACACGCATTGAATGGTAAAGGATAAAAATCTAACTAACTAGGAAGGCTTAGGCACAACTTTTCAAATACAGATTTAGGTAGAAATAGAGAAAAATAGACATGAATATTGCTGAGTTTCATGTTTAGCTGAATTCATAGTAAATATTTATCATCATGAATATGTTCATCTCAGAAGCCAAAAGCGTACCTACTGTCACTGGAAGGTTGCATATATATGCATATATATGTGTGTGTGTATATAGATATGTATATATATAAAATACATATATTTCAAAGCGGTCATTCATATATATTTTTTCAAGCAGTAAGCTAATTTTCCAAGGACTATTATTATAGATACAGAAAATATACATATATACATATATACATGTATATTATATATATATATAGTCCCAGCACTTTTAGAGGCTGAGGTGGGAGGATCACTTGAGCCAGGAGTTGGAGAGAAGCCTGGGCAACAGGGTGAGACCCTGTCTCTCCAACAACAGCAACAACAAAATTACTCAGGCATGACAATTCAGCCTGTAGTCCAGCTATTTGCGAGGCTGAGGTTGGAGGACTGCTTGATCTGGGGAGATCGACTCTGCAGTGAGCTGTGATCTCACCACTGCACTCCAACCTGGGTGACAGAGTGAGAGCCTGTCTCAAAGAAAAACAAAACAAAACAAAACAAAAACAAAAACCTGATTATTTATCCATTCTTCCTTATTGCTCTAATAGCTGTATTCTAACATACAATGAGATTATATACAAGATGAGGATGGTTAAAAGAGTATAATGCTATTAAAATATAAGTGGCTACAGAATTGTATGTTTGCATTACTGCTGTCATTGGAATACAGATCCTGTCACCTTGGTAGTCAGCATAGTACCCAATAGGTAGTTTTTAAAAAATATATTATCATCATTATTATCATTTATTAATGTGGAGAATAGCCTTCCAAAGACAGCTGCAAATGTCCTTGTCACACAGAGGTAGCAGTCATCAGGAACTCTGCTGACCGATGCTTTAGGTGCCTGTTTACAAGGAAGACATTCTGGAAAAAAAAAGTCAGGAAACTTCAGGGTAAAAAAAAACAACAACAACAACAAAAAACACACCTTTCTTCCAAAGTAAGTATTTTCTGACACTCACACCTTCAGGCTGTTGCCCCTGTTGGAAGTGAGAGAGTGACTAGTTACTGGCAGTGTGACACCATGAGCACGCTCCTAGGCTAATGGAGCTGACTGAAGAGCTCCCTCCAAGACAGGTTCCCTGCAGCCCTCCCCTTTCTTTCTTCTGAAAATGTGTATCTTTCTTTTCAAGCCACGACTTAAAGTCTTATTTTGTTCCTACTCTTAGAAGCAGTCAAAAAGAGCCCCATACCAGCCATTTTATCAATCAATGAATTTTAAAGCAGAGGGATAGTAAGGCATTATTTGTCTCTCTGGTCTTGGTTCCTTTTCTGCATACTGCAATCATTCAACTACATCTCACACTCTACCATGTCCACGACACCACTTATGACTAGCGCCTAGAAGACTGAACATCACTTGTGCCTACGTGCAGATAGAGAGAAAGTCGTCTGGTCACGTTACCACTTTGGTGGAAGGCACTCTTAAAAAATTCAACGGCCAGGTCTGCTATTATAAACACTGGGTCAAAACTGTGGTTGACTTCAAAGTGTTCTCAGAAAGTTTGATAATACACTATTAAAAGACAGTTTTCCACCTGAAAACCTCACTGGTGGCAACCTTCAATTGGCCTCTGCATTTCCTCTGAGCAGAAGCATCCAAGAGACGGAATCGTTTGCATGAGGAGTTCTTACTGCCACTATGGTTGTTAGAAAACATGGAATGATCCCTCTGCCCTCCAGGTGATTGAAAGCTATGCAAAACAAGGTTGTTTCTTCCTGAAAGGAAGGAAGGAATGGGTAAGAAAACTTTTAAGGCATAAATAATATAAAAGGGCTCACACTTTAAGACACATTGACATGACATTATGCTACAAAAAAAAAAAAAATAGTCATTTTCTCTGATTTGAATTAAGGTCCTTCAAACAGTTCACTCCCAGGCCTGTTTTGTGCAGTTAGTTACAGGATTGAAGTTGGAACATGACTGGTTGTTTGCACATCCTCCAGTTTCCTGGAGCTGCTGGAGGACCCCTGAGGGGCTGTGCAAAGGAACACCAGGCGGAGGCCATGTTGTCTCTTCAGCACAGTCCTCTGAGATAGGTGGCAGAATAAGAGGATTCCAACGTAAAATGTTGCTGTCTGTTTCTGAATAGACACAGCTGTCTCCTCTGCTGAACTCTTCTGGATTTTCTGCACGATCACAGCTGACATCGTTTCTATTATCCTGACAGCACTTTTTCCTCCTCTGTAATAACATACTTTGTGGATGAACCAAAATCACCAAAAACTGCCACGGATACTGTTACAGGGCCACTCAAAATAATACCAACGCTATTGTTGGCAATGGATTGGTAGAAACCCAAAAGAGAGAAGTTCAGAGAAAGCATTGTCAAAGTCCCCTGATGAAGCTTTGTATGTTCCATATTTCTATCCTTTTTTCCATTATGCAACCATGAGCTATGAGTGGTCACAGGTTTGGCAGAACAATGTAGTTCTACAGGTCCACCACCTTTCTGGACGGTAGAGGTGGCTCAGAAGTAAAATAAGGTGCCAAGTCTGAGCTCATGGAAGAGCAGAGAATCATGACAGTAACATATAGCAGTGTCCATATAGATCCAAGATTCACATGCAGAGCGCCAGATTACAGAAGCAGGCAAGGCAGGCTTCCAGAACAAAACTCAAGCCTTGGTTCACTTTCCAAGGTACTACAGTTCAGGGTAATCAGACGCATTCCTTAACCTTGACTCCTTCCTGCTTACTAAGACTTTGATCAGGGACAGGCTTCATGCTGTCCACAGGGGGTCTCCGAAACTCAGAGTAACAGTTGGCTTACATCTTCAGTGATTCAAGTCTGCAAGGTGTATACGATTGTGCTTCTGGGGGAAAGCAGAGATGCCACTTTCTGTACTTACAATGGAGTTCACTTCAGTGCTAAAAGCACATCATAGCAGTTCTGCTTGTAATAAACTCCGAACTGGCAATCTGCCTTTGAGTTGAGCTGTTCTCCTCCAAGATAAGCTGTTAAGTCATGCCTTGACTTTAGAGCTCTCGGCCGGGCGGGCTAAGCATCCAGAGGTCCTGTGTGGCAGCCGGCTGGGAAAGCCACTCTCAGGTCCTTCCCACTGACGCCTGCCTCAGCGACTATGGTGGCGGCTATGGTGGCAGCGGCTGCGATCGATCCGAAGGGGCCCCTCCACGCACCACGCAGAGCAGAGGAGGGCGTGGTGTCTTGCAGGCCGGGGCGCAGGCGCTGGGTAGGTCAGGCCGGCGCTGGGTTCTTGTTCTTCTGGCATCTTGACGCTGGAGCTGGGCATCAGGGCTCAGGGTAGGGGACCTGGGGCGCGCCCCCGCGGCAGCACTCCTCCAGGCAGAGGCGAGTGGGCATGCAACCGGGCGGGCTCATGGCTGCCAGGAGCATGCCAGGAGCAGGAGGAGGGATCCTGTGAGAGACAAGCGGGGCTGGCTGTAGAGGCCGCCCCAAGTTAAGTAGTTTTTTTAACCCATCCCTCTCCCTCCACTCTCAAGTAGATCACAGAGTCTATTTTTCCCATACTGATGTCTCTGTGTGTTCAATGCTTAGCTCCCAATTATAAGTGAGAACATACAGCATTTAATTTTCTGATTCTGCATTAATTTGCTTAGGATCACAGCCTCCAGCTCCATCCCCATTGCTGTAAGAGAGTTGGTGTGCCCAGAGTAAAGCCCTCCATTTAAGCTCCCATTCACAACTACACTGACTCCACACAACTACACTGACTCCATTCACAACTACACTGAGGACAGACCTTATGGTGAAGGTGGGAACAGCCACTGCTGAAGCCTCCATTGCTCAGTAAGCCTCCATGAACATTTCCATTTATCTCATTTGCTCCTGAGAGAGTGGTGCATTACATCATCTGCCCATTACTATCTGATCCTTGTTAGAGGTATCCTGGAGGGTCATATTTCTCTGTGATACTCTGCTGGTGATTCTTCCACAGGCACATTTCAATGAAAACCATAAGAATGAGAGCAGCTCACCGGGCAGGAATGCCCTCCCCTCAGCTAGGCCCCTGTGGTCCAGCCCAGAGCAGCAGGAGTCAGGGCGCAGGAATCCTCTCCAACCAGTGCCAGGGCCCTGGAGTGGCTGCCTTCCTGACAGCTGTTCTTGGGGAAGTGCCAAGGAAAAAACCCAGGCCCAGGGCTTTTCAGCAGACTCAGGATTGGCTTTTGTTCTTTGTGGCCTTGGAATGCCAGCGGTTCCTGCTGTGGGCACAAACCACGGAACAGGGCCTATCCTCCCCAGCTCCTGGCAGTGCCCAGGGACCGTTGAAGGGACCAGGGACTCTGCAGGTTTGAGTGGGGCAAGGGAATGAGGTTGAGGCATAGAGAAGATTCAAGAGATCTAACTGGCCTTTTGCTTACCCCAGGAGGGCTTCTGGCACATTCTGAGTGGAGCAAACTTGGGTGCTTCACCCACTCCTTCATGGGGCTAGGCTCACTACAGGGCTGTGTCCTCTTGTGTCATGTTGTGGACCACACAGCGCCTGCCTTCCCTGCATCTGAAGGAGCAGCCTGGAGGGCTTAGGGATCTGGAACCCCATTTTCCTCTCTATGCTTCAGTGGCTATCCTTGCTGCTTGTGGCCCCCACACCAGGGTGGACATACCATTACCCCGAGGGAATGCTAAGCATGGTATTTCCTTCTAACAACAACAGCTACTACTACTGTAATTTACTAAGTATTACTTAATGCCAGGAACTGTGGAGTGCCTTCTACACAGCCCCATTTATCTTTCACAACACCCAGTGAAGCCAGGGCTTTGAGGCAACTGTGCCGCAGAGGGTGCTCTGGGTCACCCATTTGCTGAGCAGCAGAACCAGGATCTGAACTCAGGTCCATCTAACACCTGAACCAGCATTCTCTTCACTACCCCATGGAGTAGCTCCAAGGCATGGACAACTGTAATAACTCCAAGGAAGCATTAGAATAAACTAGAAAATAAACTTAAAAACAGTGTCAGTGTTAGGGGCCACTAGTGGACTGTTGAGAAGAAGCTTGACCCCAGTAACGAGATGTATGATTTTTAGGCCCACAGAGTGGGTAGGTAACTGCAAGAATGTAAAGGAATCAAAGGCTGGTGTCATGGTGAATCCCATCGCTCTCCGACTGAACTCCTACTGGGCTTGCAAAGCACAGACACAGAACACACTTGTGGCAAGAATGAGTGAGTCATCCATTTACACATTTTCTAAACTTGTTTTAAAATTCTTTCTATTTTTAGGCCTACCATATTTTATGTCATGTAGCGTTTCCTTTTATTTGTTCCAAACACCACTCCTTTGAACCTCCTGGAGTGTGCTGTGTCTCTGGTAATTTCTGTCCACTTTGTCCACATTCCCTGCACTTTATAGATTTTGATCCCATCTGCTCTGAGATTTTATTTTTTAAGTAGAATCACTTGCTCCAGTGAAGATGGCCTAGAGTCTTGAGAGAATGATTTTTTTCCTATTTGGGGTCTGGTACCCTTTCTTCCATAATGCAGAGAGACCATAGGGCTCACACTGCTGGGCTGGGAATCTGGTGGCCAAAGCCAGAACCCTGGCACATTCTCATACTGGCTGTGTGACCTTGTGCCAATCACTCAACTTCTCTGAGCCAAAGTTTCTATGTCTGAAGACTGAGACTAATAATGGCACTTCTCTTGTACGATATTATGATGTTTAAGGCAGACAAAGTGTTTGGAGCACAGTGAGTGCTCAATAAATGTTAGTGGCTGAAAGTCAAACTAGCCACAAGAAAGATGGCAGAGAAGCATTGCGCATGGACCTTGGTGAGGTGTCACAGTCGTTATACCAGGGATACCGAGAGACAGAGAGAGGTCCCAAAAATGGCAGTGGGGCAAGGCGGCTGGGGAGAAGGAGCAATGAGGACAAACTGAGGAGGTGGTCTCTCAGGTGTGAGTGACCTTATTCCTCCCTTCCATCCTAGATCTGACTGTGCACTCTCTGGGGCTCAGGAGTCTTCTCTTACGGCGTCCAAGACTACAGTCACAGACTAGAGCCTACTCCAGCAGCTCAATGGGCTGCCAAGTTCTACTGTCTGAGAACTCTCTGAGTTCTGAGAGAGTGTTCCATGCTACCAGGGACCTGTGACTCTGGAGAGCAGAATCCAGAATAGAAGATACCATTCCCATGGCTTCCAGAGCCATGGCGTTCCAGGCTCAGTTTCTCCATGAACCCAGGAGTTGGAGGTTGCAGTGAGCCAAGATAGTGTACTCCACAAAAAAAGATTGTTCTGTAATGAACTGTATGTATAAATATTTTCCTGGAGAGATGAGAAGTGACAAAGGGAACAGTGGGAGTACATGTTGGGCACCTTTAGAATGAATATGGACAAGTTAGCTTCCCATAAACCTAGTCTGTCTTGTCTTTTTGCAGCTTTTGAATATCCCTTTAAAGACTAAAGGTAAGCAGGTAGGGAAGCGTAAGGGAGTACCTGGAGAGATTCCCCAGTCCAGGGCCATTGCCATTTTCCAGGCAGTGACCAAGGTGTACAGAAGCTTAGGATGCACGTCCTGACTGGGTAATGCTCCTGATCCTGAAAGCAGCCTTGACTGCCCACAGGTAACCAGGAAATAAAGAGAGGGTACACGCTGACCCCCTGAGATCCTCAAGCCACTTTGACAAGTCAAATTAGGTGACTGAGTTCAGTCTTATGGTCTCTTGTTCAGGATTCAAGAGATAGCTGTACTGCCATGTTTGAAACTTAGTCTCTCCATTCTAGAGCCCAAGGAGTTGTGAGTTGTGGAAAGCACCCTGGACTCAAAGTCAGAGAGACCTGGGTTCGTGATACCGCTCTGCTGTGAGCATTGACCTCAAATTCTCGGGTTTCTCACACTTAGTAAAACTATACATGTAACAGCCACATCTTATTAGCAGGGTGACGTGAAAATGATTTGTAAGCTATTAAGAAATGGAGAAAAGTAAGGGATGAGGCAATTATGATGATCAATATAATGCCATGGTTCCCTCACCAGGACAGCCCTTTCTATTTTCCGATCTTCCTCCCCTTTGACGTATTTAGCTGTACAAGCATTTACTGAGCATCTAGTAAGTGCTGGACTATCTGCTAGGACCTGGGAACACAGTGGCGACTGAAACAAGAACCATGTCCTCATGGAACCAATAAGCAGGTCCTGGTAGGGAGGTGTGCTTCGTGCTGTAATGTGGCTAGAGTGTAGAGGCGGAGGTGTGGGGAGCAGTGAGGGTAACCCACAGAGCCTTGGCTGTCCAGAAAAAGAGACCTCTAAGCAGAGACTAGAAAGAAAAGTTGGAATCCACCAGGCAAATGTGAGAATGTGAAGGGTAAAGGTGGAATGTTTTGGTACTGGCAGAAAAAGGTCCAGAATCCAGACAGGGCCAGGTACATTTAGGGAACTAAGTTCAGTGTAGTGGGAAATAAAGTACAGTAATAGAGTGCATGTTTGTATGTGTGTGTGTGTGTGTGTGTGTGTGTGTGTGTGTGTGTGTTATCTGTAGTGAGAGCTGAGAGATGGGTCTGGGAAAGTGTGCTGGGTTAGATCACAAAAATCTTTGTAGGCATGTTGCGAAATGTGGACTTTATACTAAAAAGCAAAGGGATCTTAGTTGGGGAAAGTGAAGGAACAGACATGTTTTGGAAAGCTTTTTCTGGCTACAGTGTGGCGAATGGATTGCAGGAGGCCAGGTTGTAGGCAGGGTGGGGTGTTGGTGGGGCACTGTGTTCCCATAATTCTAAGGGATGATGGCAGCCCTGAGGATAGAGGGAAGTGGTGATGGGGATGGGTGGGGAAATATTGTCATAGTCAGCTTTCGACTCTCAATTCTATCCTTGACTGCTGGTGATGGGCTGCAGCCCTGTGAAGACCAGAATGAGTGTAAGCCCCATCCTATCTTCCCATGTCCTTTGGTGAGCTTCAGCTTCCCCAAGCCCAGTAGTCACTGCAAGCAGATATGGCTCCTCCCACCTCAAAATCTTCCAGTGGCCCAGGGGAAGTTTCTGTCTGATGACAGTCAGATCAGAGAAGTGAGGAGGGGATGCTGGTCTAGGACCAATACTGCCATAGATGGGCTGATGAGATGCTTGAGCCCTCACCTCCAAGTCTTGGCTCCAAGATAGCTTCTCAGGGAACTCTTCTCCAATCCCCCTATTGCAAACCAACGCTGCCTCCCCCACCACGCCGCCACCGGCTTTATCCCTTTCACTCTGCTTTATTTCTCTTCACCATTTGACATATTGTCTACTTCACTTATTTATTTATCATCTGTCTCTCCCCAGTAGAAGGTAAGTTACATGAGGGCAGGAATTCTTGGTAGTTTTGCTTACTGCTGTATCCCCAGTGCCTAGAACAGTGTCTGGCACAGAGACAATGCTCAGTAAAAGCTTGTGCTTACATGAGTGTTCGATGGAATGACTGAGTGGCAAGGGTTACACAATGGCCTCATTGTGATGGTGTGGTGCTGGGTGCTGGGCACACAGCAGTTAATAAGATAAACACTGGACTGAAGTCTTAGCTGTGCCTGCCGCTCTTTGGTTCTTGGCAGCTAGTGGCAGAAGCAGAAACTCAGTAGCCTTTTATTGTTTACCTGGGCATGCTGCCTGCCTCTCTCTTTTTTCTGGATAGCTGAGGACCCTCTGAGTAGAATATGGGTGAGAATTGGGCACAGGCCATGGGCAGGGTCAGGGAGTGACCTTCCCCAGATCCCAAGGGCAGTGGGAGACAGCCAGGCCGCTCTCCTCCTCGTCGGCACTCAGTCTCACCACCGAAGGCTCCAAATCTCTGGGCAAAGGTTATAGCACCTGCTGCCCAGGGAACATGTGACCACTTGAGCGCTGCTGGGTTGGAACAATCCACACAATCACGCCATTGTACTAAACATGCAGGTCTCCTTGCCAAGCCACACCTCATTCCAGCACTGCCAGACCCTTTTGGGGCCCTGATTTACAGGTGCCCCAAAGGGGGAGGTATTGTTCTAATGGCCCTGGGGGAGGATGAGGTCAATTCTGTGGGGCTCACTTACTCTGGCCTGCGCTGAGATCCAGGGAGAAGTAGATGGGAGAAGGAGTAAATAACCGCGTTCTAGCTTCAGGCCCTATGAGGAGTGGTAGACAAGATCATTACTGTTTGACTCCTGATGACATTGGCATTGACTATTGTCCTCCAACATTTGCTTTGCTTGGTGAAGACTGTTGAGCACTTGCTGATTTTTCAGAAGTCCAAAAGGTTCCCTTCTGTCATGACTGGGTCCAGAAATTCCCATCAAGTCACTATCCATTCTTGAAGATCTTCCTTCCCAGAACTGGTTCTCAGCAGACCATTAGACAAGGATTTGGTGCTACTGAACTCTTGGTCTGTACAAGATTGTGTTTGTTATTGTCCTTCTAGGAGCAAGGAGTTCTACAGGGCTTTGTACCCTGTTGACACTCAGGCCAAGGTCACTGGTAGGTTTCACTCCACAGGACCATTCAGTGACTGCAAGGAAGTCCCTGCTTAGGCTGTTTATTTTTTTCATTATTAGTAACCGCACAGGAGATGGCATGATGAGGTAGAATCCAATTTGAATAAAGCAACCTTTTTTTTGAGACAGGGTCTCATTCTGTCACCCAGGCTGGAGTGCAGTGGTTTGATCACAGCTCACTGCAGTCTGAAGCCTCAACCTCCTGGGCTCAGGCAATCTGTCTGTCTTAGCCTCCTGAGTATCTGGGATCACTGGCGTACACCACCATACCCAGCAAATTTATTTTATTTTATTTTATTTTAGTAGAAATCAGTCCCGTCATGTTGCCCAGGCTGATCTCGAACTCCTGGGCTCAAGCCATCCTCCTGCCTTGGTCTCCCAAGTTGCTGGGATTACAGGTGTGAGCCACTGTGCCTGGTGTCCACAGGAACCTTGGTTCTAAAAGGCAAGTGAATAAGGATATACCTTTGCTTGGCACATTGCAAGATACTTGAGTGCCTGGCATGTAGTGAGTGCTAAAAAAAGGTGAATCTGAATCAAGAAGCTTAAAGCCAACCAGGGCCATTTTGGGTTCTGGATATTAGTTACAGGTTCAGAGATATCAGTTCTGCTTTATCCCCAATCCTCATCATACCTTTCCACAAAGAGAGAGGAAGAGACTGCGCCAGCACTCACCCTTTCCCATCTTCACTTGCAGAAAAGACCCTGGTTTAGAGGTCAGGACCCAGGCATCTGAGATGCCTTTGCCCCTGACCCTGGCTCTTGGGGGCCAGCAGGTGGTCCCTGTGTCCCATGTTTTGTCTCTCCAGAGTCATCCTCCAGGGGAACACACACACCCTGACCATGGGAAGGGAGGTCTGGCTAAAGGAGGAGGCCACTGCAATGACTGAACACCTACTTTATGAGCAAGCACCAACTATGTGTCAGATGCTGTCCAAAGCGTGGCGTGTCCAACATTTTCACCATTCTTGGTGCCTTATCTCTAAGGAAAAAGGTCTGCAACCTTGAACTTCTGAGTTGGACTGTCTTGGAGACTCCTCTATGCAAGTTACTGTGGGACCTTAACAGGTGATTTAGCCCTTCTGAACCCCCAGTGACCTCACCTGTGGAATGGGGATCATGAGAACACCTTCATTTCAGGAGTTGTGTGAGGATTAAATGAGATGATGAAGCGCATGGCACAGGGCTTGTTAAGAGCTCTGCAAATTTTAGTCATGCCGGTGATGATGAAGAAGAAATGCGAGTGCTCTAAAGGCTCCCCAAGGTGTTATCCTTGGCTTCACTGCTGCCTAGAATTTGCAGCAGGGCAGCAAGAAGGCCCTGATGCTGGCAGTCCTGGGAAGCCTGAGTGTTTCTCACTTGCCTAGTGGCCTGGGGACAATCACTTTCTCCTTCCGCACCTTCAGATCGGGGTCTGAGGGTTGAGTCCCCAGGGCTCTGGGTCAGAGACACAATGTCAGAGTTGTTCCAAAGGACAGAAAGTCCCCTCTCCTCCAGGCGCCCAAGCCTCACCCTTAACTCCTCTGGGTCAGGCCACCTCCTGTCCCCTCTGCCTGCTGAAGGTGGGAGGAGTAGGGAGGAGGGGTGGGGTAGCAGAGGAGAAGGGCCCTGGAGGAATGGCGAGCCCCTCCAGGGCCAGGGTGTCTCTCCCCATCCCCGCCCAGAGCACAGCGGACTTTCTCTAGTTCACTCCTCCCAGCGGCTGGGTCTCCAGGTGCCTTCCTTTAATTAAAAGTATTTAGCCTTCCGCTACACTGGCCTTCATTTGTATGGGATCCTTCTTTTTATGCAGCCTCAGTATCAGAACGAGCCAGGAGGTTAACGGAGCGTCGTCCTGCAGCGTCCCGGGACACCAGGGCCCAGCGCGCGCTCTGCTTCCCCGCGCTGCCCTGTGGGATTCCGCAGGTGGCGGCCCTCACAGGTCGGGAGCTGTCAGGTTTCCAGCCCCTCCGCCCCGCAGGGCTGGGCCTCCAGGCGCCAGGAGAGGCGCAGCAGGTTCCCCATCCCCCCCGGCAAAGCGCATTCACAGCCCGCCTCTCCGTGGGCTGAATGAAGGAGGAAGACAGCTGTTTTCTGATCACCTACGTGTGCCAGACACTGGACTGAGTTCCGTGGGTATTCCAGGGAAGGACAGTCACAACTCCTGCCTGGAACTCATAGCTCCTCAGGAGGAATCTGTCTTGGTGACTACACAAAGAACTATGACATCAGGTAGCAGGTGGTTAAAAACTGCAGGAATGTTTCACCCGAAGTGGCACTGATTATTAGAGAAAAGCAGGACACGAACTGTCAGCGGCAGATCCTTACGAATGTTTTTTGTTTGTTTTCTCAGATGAACATTCTGATGCTTAAGATAATCAGGCAAATTCACCAAGGCCATGTAGATGGTGACAGGCGGGCCTGGGGTTTAAACCCCAGCCAGCTGGTCTCCCAGGTCCATCGTTTCCCATTCAGGAGAGGAAGCTGACTGCTTGAGACCAGACTCCTTTCCCTCCACGTACTTGTGCTCTGATGGAGGCTCAGACACAGACCTGGGAGACTCCAGATCATGGCGTTTGTTTCTGACTCCAGTCGCCTCTGTCTCATGGTTCTGGCTTCCTCAACCTACCTGAGGTTTTGTCTGTAAACTGCTCCTGGCCTGCTCACTGTCCCACTCAAGTCCCTCTCCATCCCCAGGCCAACATCCACCCCTTCCAGCTGCCCCAGGGTCTTAGGAGCCAAGGGACAAGAGCAGGAAGGAGGCCTGATTCTTACAGATAAGGAAAGGGAGATGCAGGACGGGCTTCTCCAGTTCTGCTTAAGTTTTTACTCGTTATCCCAGACTGACTCAGGAGTCCCACCCCCTCCCCCTCACTTCTGCAAGCTAGTTCGGATGGTCCTTTCCTACAAATTTCTCTTCCTTGGACTAGGAGACAGGCATTATGGGGGTGGGGGGTGGTAATGGGAGTTGCTGTGTTTCATTTCCATGCAGAGTGTCTGATGCAGAGTAGACAACCAATACATAGTGAATGAATGAATGCATGGGTCATAGATTGGGCTCAGAAGTAGACGTAGATGCCCATGTAAAAGACAGAGGAGGAAACAATGTGGACGAAAAGGTGGAAGGGGTGTGGAATCCCTTAGCCACCAGCATTCTGTAGTCTTCCAGAGAGTACACACCAGGGGTCATGCCACAGCCCCTCCCATGATACTCCCGAGGAAAGCAGGCAACATTTCCTTTCACTTTGCTCTGTGGAGCCTCTGGAACTGGGAGCCTAATGGATCACCATTGCTGTCTGGAGTCAGCCCAGAAAGACAGTCAGTTAATACTATTCTAGGTTCAGGGTAGACCTAGGTCCAGGGACAAGAAAGGGAATGATGAGCTTAGGATTTATTTTACAGGTGTGCTTTCAGCACGTTTTTAGTCACTCCTTCCCCTTCCCTGCCCGCTGGTGAAGGACCTAGAAGATAAAAGTGTTTCATTAGCACTTTCTCAGCCATGCACCCAGAGTGGGTTGAGCTCTCCTGTCTCACATCTCCTTTGCCACGGGTGCTGTGCTGAGTTGGGGGAAGGCGGAGAGACTGCTTGAAATAATGGCAGCATTCGTATCCCAGAGTAATTTAATAGCATTATCTCATATCATTTTCATGAGCAGTTGATAAGGTTACTGTTGATCTGTTTTACGGATGAGCAAAGTGAAGCTCTGATGAGCTAAACACCATACTCAAGGTCAGGTCATTTAATGACTGTGTGCAGAAATCAGGACTTGGACCCAGGCCTTCCAATTCCAGAGTCTGTCTCTGGGACTAGGGAACACCATCAGGAAGGGAACTGGAATCTGGACAAGATCCTTGAATCCCCAGGCTTTGCCCAGGAAAAGTGGAATCTTCATGAAGAGGTCACTTGGAAGAATAAGACAAGCATCTTGATTGAAATGATATTCAATAGGTCAGGTCTCTTCTCTATTTCAGGCACTATGACTTTAGAGATGTGTTAAAACACAAATATTTTTGTTGGGAGTAGTGTGATGATATTAAGCCAAAGGCTCAGCAGAGTTATTAGCAGACACTGGACCATTCAATGAGCTTGCCATCACTCAGAAACCAGAGAGCAAGACCGTCAGGGAATAGATCTTTAGGTGCAATTTGATGGAGATGCAGGCAGGCTGGGAATGGGAAGGGGATGAGGACAAGTATCTGAGCAGTGAGCTCTGTGAGTGGTGGGATTTGGAAGGCTGCAAGGAGGGCATTCTTAGAAGCTCTCTGAGGCCAGAACCTGGGACTGCCTTATCCTCTCTGTGTCCCCACTGACCTACACAGCTCCTGGTACACGTAGGTTCTCAATATTGAGAAGCAGTAAGTAGTAATTGAGTGTTCCAAGAAGAAATAGTTGAGAGAGAAGGTATGGAAGTAGGAGAGCAGACTGGAAGGCAGCTTTCATGTAGGTGAATTTCACTTTAGGGTTGGAGCCGTGTGAGAGGGAGTGAGGTGGTGTGAACATGTCAGTGTGAGCTGAAGCTCCAGTTTTCTCATAGTGCTTTCTTCACCCCAAAACGGACATTTCCAAAAAGTTTTTAAAAGGTTTTGAATATAAAATTGGGCTTACCCTGGAGTGAGCTGTGATGGGGTGGGAAAGGTGCTGGCTTAATGGAGTGCAGACAGGTCCTCAACTGATTTAGGTGAAAAGAAAGGTCTTGATGGGTCTAGAGGCCCAAGGAATAAATATCAACCCTGCACAAGGGAGGCTTGTTTCCACCCAATGCAGACATAATAGCACAAGCAGTGCCAAAGGTCTTCTGGAAATTGTATTCTATTCACTGACACTCTTTAGTTGAAAAAATGGCAAACAATTAGGCCCGATTAGGCAAAAAATATAGGAGATGGGTTATAGAGATGCAGAGATGGGTTATGGAACCCAAGGTCAATGATGCAGCTGAGTTTCAGAAATGACCAGAACCAGGACCCAGAAGGTCACTCACTGGGCTGCTGACCATCTGTTTCCCTCCCTCCCTCCCTCCCTCTCTCTCTCTTTCTTTCTCTCTCTTTCTCTCTCTCCCTCCATCTCTTCCACCTCCTCCCCCCTCTGTTTCTATTGGAGCATTGGCTTCTCTTTCTGTATCTCTGCAGGGAAGTTCTCTTTTCCATCAGGCAAAAGGCAGGTCCTGAGATTACTCATTAGATCCTCATGAAGAGAGTGACCACTCCTCTTTCATCAAAGAGAATCTCCTCATCCCAGCCTGTGTTGCTTGACACCCTGGTCCAGTCCACTCTCACTGAGGCTATTGGGGGTTCATTTTTGTGAATAAAGATTGCAGTTCTCAGAGAATAGGAAGTCAAGATCTTTTGGGCTGCTTAGACATCTCGAAGATACTCATTGAGGGTGCTTTCTCAGATGGCTTGGGAGTTTTCTAAATATCTATTTGTCATAATTTCCTATCCAGTGTGCTGGGACTGACTGAAAGGTTGTTATATTCTTAGGTGGGACCAATAGGAAAAGCACATCCAAGATAAAAGTGCTATATTTCCTCTATACTTCTTTGAGTTGCACCACACTTGGGTTAATAGCTCCATTCTAACCATTACCTACAAAGAAGGAGACTGAGAAAGAGAAACAGAGAGGACTAGGAACCATGAGAACAGTGTATACCATGCCCACTGAGGATGAATTACAGGAACAAAGGATATTTTGCCTAAAAAATAGAAGACTGAGGGTGAAATAAAAGTCCTTTTTAGAAAACTAGACAGTGGTTATGAGGAGAGAGAATCCATAGGCTTGGTGAGCAATGTGTGAACATCGTGGACAAGTCAGTTTTGCTTAAGTCCGAGTAGCACGTTTGAGGCAGTTGATCTGCCCACACTGTAATGGGCATTGCCTTAGGAGGGAGTTAATGGCCTATTGCTATGCTACAAGTCTTCTTTAAAAAAAAAATTCAATAGGTTTTTGGGGAACAGGTGGTGTTTGGTTACATGAATAAGTTCTTTAGTGGTGATTTCTGAGATTCTGGTGCCCCCATTACCCAAGGAGTGTACACTGTACCCATTGTGTAGTCTTATCCCTCACCCCTCCTCCCACCCTTTCCCCCGAGTCCCAAGGTCCATTGTATCATTCCTATGCCTTAGCATCCTCATAGCTTAGTTTCCACTTATGAGTGAGAACATATGATGTTTGCTTTTTTATTCCTGAGATACTTCACTTAGAATAATGATCTCCAGTTCTATCCAGGTTGCTGCGAATGCCATTATTTCATTCCTTTTTATGGCTGAGTAGTATTCTATGGTATATACATACACCACAATTTGCTAAGAGTCTTCTTTAAGAGGAGGGTTGATGCTGAGGATGCTAAGCAGAGGAGACTTTGGGGTTGGGGATTTCCAAACCTGATTGATCATGAAATTGGCTAGAGGAGTTTAAAAAATCATAGACTCTTGAGTTGGGGTGGGGAAGAGTCTCCCACAGGTGATTCTAATGGTCATCTGGACTTGGAAACCATTGAATCAGAAGACCTTTAAGGTATGTTCAAATTCGAAATTTTGACAGACTTATCTACAACAAGTGTGGCCCCCAGACTAGCAGCATCAGCATTATCTGGAAACTTACTTGAAATTCCAGTTCTTCAACCCCACCTAAGACCTACTGAATCACAAACTCTAGGGGTGGATTCTAGCTATCTGTGTATTGCTAAATACACAGGTGATTCTGATGCCTGCTCAAATCTGAGCACCACCAATCTTCAGTATTTATTAGTCATTCTATTTTTATTCTATATATTGGAGTCATGAATTCCATTGCATTTACCACCTAATATGTTGTAGCCAGCCTTAAAGGTGGCCACTAGAGAATCCCAAAGGCAAAGCATTCCCTGCCTCCCACTATTTAGGCCCTTGTGTATTTCTTTCTCACATGTTATCAGAGTTAGTCTATACGACCAGTAGAGTACAGCAGATTGATGGTATATCAATCCTGAGTCTAGATTTTGACAGACAAGGCTTCTGTCCTGCTCTTTCTTGGATCACATGTCCACTACTATGTCATGAGAACACTCAGGTATCCCCATGGAGAAGCCCATGTGGAGAGAAACTGAAGCTTCCTGCCAACAGCCATTAGGAACCCAAGGCCTCCAGTCAGAAATTAGGCGACATTGTGGATGTGGATCCTTCAGCCTCAGTCAAGATTTCATATGACTGTAGGACTGGTTGACAGCTTGACTGTAACCTCATGAAAAACCCTGAGCCAGAATCACCCAGCTGTGCAGCTCTTGGATTGCTGACCCTCAGGAATAGATGTCTGAGATAATAAATATTTGTTGTTCTAAACTTCTAAGTTTTGGGTAATTTGTTACATGGCAATAGAGAACTAACACTAAACTCTTATTCTCACATCTGCTCTGATAAATTCCACTCTTGGTCATATAGGTGTTCTGACAGGAGACTCCTCAGAGAATATTTTCACAGCTAGAGAATAAAGTGAAATTTCTTCTTCTTTTTTTTTAAACCGACTTCATTTGAGCCATAAATCTGCCTCTAGCACTGACACTGAAATTTGGTGACACATTGATTCATTCTTGGCATTTTAAATGTGTCTATGATAAAATCCCCTCAGGGAATCCTTTCAGAACCCAGTTGGGAGATATCAGGGGCACTCTTTTAGGTCCAGTAGATGCTTTATTCTGCTTTGGCTGGACATTCTGGCTGGGACAATGCGTCAGCCTGAGGGAGAGGTCACATGGCCTTTTCTAGAGACAAGTCAGAAAGAATGGCAGTTGCAGGGGATGGGGAGTAGTAGTTCAGGCCGGTGATACTTCCCTTCCTGTAAAAGAAACAGAGAGAGAGGCTAATTGGGTCTTAGTCTTTGCATTTTGTATATGTATATGTATGTGCATGCATGTGGGTTGTTCTTTCCATTTACCATCTTGGAAGTCTTCAAAGAATTAGCGTCCACGACCACTGGTCAAACATTATACCTTTTGTTCGTTGCTTTCCCCCTGGTTGGTATTTTCTTGTATGAAAAGGGAGCTACAGAGGAGGGATCACAGAACTGGAGAGAGGGGCAGCAAACATTCTGAGTCTCTGAGGACCAAGGCTAGTCCATGAGAAGCTGGCCTGGGTCTGTGAAGGAGGCCTCAGGTCTCAGCTCTTAAGATTTTCTTCTGGGATTCCAAGACAGTGTCCTCTGCTGCTTCTTTCCACTGGCTGGACTCTGCCTGTCATTCAGGCAGGAGCCACCAGGTGGAGAAATGTGTAGATGACATCCTGGGGACACACACACACACACACACACACACACACACACACACACACACACACAGAGGTTCATTCACAACAAACATTGTACATTTATGAAAGTTAGTTACCATTAATTCTCTCCCGGCCTTTGTTGTCTCATCTTTAAAGTGAAAAGGTTAAAGAAAGTGTTGTGTAATGTCTGCTCTGAATTTCTAGTATTCTACAGTATTGCAGTAATAACAAGGCTTCTTTTACTTTTTAAAAACATATTGCAGGTCCTTAAGGTTTTGGGGTCATAGCCATGTTCCCCATTCCTTCCTTTCTCACAGTTTACTTGAGATCTCTCTGAACATCACCTACCACTCAAAGTCAGTTTCCTCAACTTCTTTTTATTTTAAAAATGTCTCTATATTTTCACTTACCTGTTTTTCTTTTTTTATCTCTCTCTTAATTTTGGACACAAACTTTGTGTGCTTTCTTGGATTTCCTCAACTGCCTCTATTTTCTCTCGTTAGGTGCCCAGACAATTCTGAGTTTTCCCTCCTTTTCCAGGCTGGATCACACCATGGGATTTGGTGTTGTGGTGAATGGGGACTGGATGATGCAATCCAGAAGCCCAGGGGGATTTGCTCACTGTTGGGTAAATCTTGATTGGTGGGAAATGGAAGACTGGAGGAAGATGGTCAGATAAATCCTCCTCCTCCTTCCTGCGAATACTTTAAGGTATGATTTCTCCTTGCAAATCCTACAGAGAAGCCCAGCATGTCAAGCAAGCATGTCTCATGAGTGTCCTGCTGTATGTCTGTGATGGTTAATTTTATGTATCAACTTGACTAGACCATGGGGTGCCCAGGTGTCTGGCTAAACATTATTTCTCAGGTGTTTCTGTGGGTGTGTTTCTGGATGAGATGTGCATTTGAATCAGCTGACTGAATAAAGTAGATTGCCCTCCCTAATGTAGAAGTGCCAATCAATTGAGGGCCTGAATAGAACAAAAAGGCAGAGGAAAAGTGAATTTGCCCTCTGTCTAACTGCTTGAGCTGGGACATCAGTCTTCTACCTTTGAACTGGAACTTACAGCATTGGAATTCCTAGTGGTCAGGCCTTTGGACTTGGACTGTAGAACTGTATTGCTGGCTTTCCCGGTTCTTCAGCTTGCAGATGGCAGATCTTGGGAATTCTCAGCTCCATAATCACATGAACTAACTCCTTATAATAAATCTGTCTCTCAATGTGTCTCTCTCTGTGCCCCTGTCCCCACTCTGTTCCTCTCTCTCTCTCCATGTATAGATATATAGGTCTGTATGTGAGAGATCTATCTCTATATCTATGTATATATCTCTATCTCTATGTTGTATTAATTCTGTTTCTCTGGAGAACTCTGACTAATACAGCATCTTTGCAGCTTGGTGTGAAGTTGCCACTAGGATAGCAATGCGTTTCATCACAGGGCCTTCCATCTGCCTCCATTTATTCCTCACTTTCATTGTCCTGAACTTGCACCCTTCCCCCACATAAAATGTCAGCACTTCAATCCTTGCCTCAGGCTCTACTTTCTATAGGATCTAGGCCAAGACACCTGGCCCGGGATGACAAAGTGTCCCTCACCTTTTTAGGCCAATTATGCCACTTGAGTTCTCCTTTTAATCTTTTTCTTCCTCCTCCATATTTTATTAACCATCCTTCCATTGTTTTGAATCTTCAACTTCTCTCTCTCTCTCTCTCTCTAGATTCTTTCCTCTTAGTCGGTAAACATTCTCAAGTATGTCCATGAAAAGCAAACATTCTCTTTATTAAAAGCATTTAACTCCATCTCTTCATGAACACATTTCTCATAAAAGTGCCCTTACTGCCTCTATTAGTTTTCTAGGGGTGCCATAACTAAATCCCACAAATTGGGTTGCTTCAGACAACAGAAGTTCATTCTCCTGCAATCTTGGAGACCTGGCTTACAAAATCAAGATATGGCAGGGCCTTGCTCCCTCTGAAGGCTCTAGGGGAGGATACTTCTTTGTCTATTCCAGCTTTTGGTAACCCAGGAGTTCCTTGACTTGTGGCTGTATCACTTCAGCCTCCACCTCCATCTTCTGTCTTCTCTCTGAATGTCTGTGTCTTCACTTGGCACCTTTCTCTCTCTTACGAGGACACAAGTCATACTGGCTTAAGGACCAATCCTAATGACCTCATCTTAACTTGATTACACCTGCAAAGACTTTATTTTCAAATAAGATTCTATTTCTAGGTACTGGGATGAGAATTTTGACATATTTTTGGTGTGTATGATTTAACCCATAAGACCGCCTTAATGTCCTTACTGCTAACTAATTCCTTGGCTTTGTGTAGTTAGGTTTCATTCCACAGGTTTCTCCTTGTATGGTTCCCATGAAGCTCATCAATGCCAAACTCAATGGCTTTTACTCATTCCCTGTCTTTGTTACTGTCCTGCAGTGTTTGTCATGAATGCCTTTTCCCTCCTTCCTGAAGCTCTCTACTAACCTCACATCCCGGTTACTGTGCACACCTGTGGCTCTTCCTGTCTTTCAGATTACTCCACATATGCCCTCTTCTCTGACTTTTTCTTCATTCCCCATCTCCAATTCAAGGTTCATTTTTAATGCTGGGGCCTTGGTCACATTTTCTTCTTTCAACACACTATTTTCTGGCCTCCTCCCGACCATGCATCAGTGCTCTTTTCTAAGTAGGGAACAGATATATCTCTCTGGCCTGACTGTCTCCTGAGCTCAGGGCAAGCATTGCCACCGAAGAGCCTCAAAAACAATATATCCCCATGTATCCCAAGTACAAGACATCCTCTTTACTTACACACACACACACACTCACACACCACCCCCAATCCCGTACTACCATCTAACCATTTTCTATTTTGCCTGTATCTATGTCAGTCTTTGTGACACTGCTCAGAGACTTCTACAAGTACTTGTGGTACTTTGAATGTGGATAGGTGAGATTAATCCAGTGAATTGTGGCTTATTGCCATTATTGTGACCCAATCTTTAGATTCACCCTATTGAGGCCTAGAGAAGTTTGATCTACACTCGATTCTGTCGTCTGAGATACTCAAAGCAGCACCAGAACAAGCATACATATGCAGACAACTTAGGGGTATTTGTTTTGTGGACTGCATATTTGTATACTCCCAAATGTGTAGGTTGAAACCCTAACTACCAGTGGGGTGGTATTTGGAGATGGGGCCTTTGGGAGGCTATTGGGTCATGAGGATGGAGCCCTCATGATGGGATTAGTGCCCTTATAAGATATAATATGAAACTGCTTGCTTCCTCTCATTCTCATTCTTTCTCTCTGTCTCTCTCTCTGCCATGTGATGACACAGCAAGAAGATGGCCACCTCCAAGCCAGGAAGAGGGCCCTCACCATGCTCCTGACCATGGTTGTTCCCTTCAGCAGCATGTGAAATAGACGTTTGTTGTTTAAGCCACCCAGTCTATAGTATTTTTGTTATAGAAGCCTGAACTGACTTGACAATTAGGTAGCTCCAGGCCTAGTTTTAGATCAAATGAGGCCTAGGGGCATCCTTGGATATCTTTTCTCTCATAGGTAAATATGTGATCTTTACATTAATTCTGCATTTTTTTCCCCAAAGCCTCTGGTAGAGAGCCTCCCAAATAGCCAGCTTCCTGTAAATGTAGCTGAATGGTGGAATTTGCCTGGCTGCTTCTCTTAGTCAGGAAGCCTGAAAAACTGGCACTAGAGGATCTGTAAATGGGAAGCTGCTGCAGCTTCCTGCAACTCGGCTCCCAGATCCTTCATTCCCTGCCTAGCCAGATAGCGTCCTAACGGTGATGTTTAGGATTCAGCATTGAGGTCAACTCAGGAATGAGCTGCTTTGAATCCTTCATTTCATTGATGGAGGCAGATGTTCTGAGACATTAAGGAAAATTCCCATAGTCCCCCAAGGTCTTCTTATATGGCACCTGCCTTTATTTACTTTCTTTTTAGAAAAGATCGCATCATTCTTAGATGGCCATTCCTGGGATGGGCAGAGGGGGCACTCTGTGTGCCCCTTGCCTGCAGTGTGTTGGTGGGAGATACAGTCCCATGGCACATTTTCATCCTGTGACTTTCACCCACAGCTCTGTGGAAATGCTGCCTGGAAGAAAAGCATATCAGGGTACCTTTGGAGAGGTTGTCCTGGGTGGATCCTTGGGCTCTAGAGGTCTCAGCAGAGAGACGAGGGAAAGAAGGAGTGTTCAGGGGTAGTCATGTATTGGGAAATCCAAGCTTTTGTGTGGGTATCTCCTGTGTTCCTATGGAACCCAAGAATTCTCAACTATTCTCGAGGACTCTGCTTGGACCTTGTAAGGATCCATGCCTTCCTGGAGAGCTGAAAATCGGTGTCAGTCACATTTTCAACAGCTTTTATTGGGTACCTGCCTCTGCGTCTTGTATTGCCATAGCAGTTTACACACAGCAAGCCAGACCAGGAGTGAAGAATTTATGTCATTTGTTATTTTCTTTTATTTGTGAATATGTGTGGGGTTGGGAGACTGGGTGCTAGACATGGGCTGAGGTCCAGGCTAGGCACAGGGAGCTGACAGCTGCAGGACATGCTAATTGGTCTGGGAAGGCCTTTGGAATCTAGGGAATTGGCTTTCTGAGCTGAGGCGGGGTCCAGGCAAGGAGGCAACAGGCTGCAGGAATCACAAAGGGACCGGGGACCTCCATGTACCCAATATCTAGGTCTTATCACTCGGAGAAACATTCTCAGCTCTTGGTGACCTTGTCCTCCCTCAACACAATACTCACTGCATATGGACTCATTTGACAATTGCCACAAAGGTTTTGGCCTCAGAGGCACTTTAAGGATATAATAGTAGGAAAGGGAGGCTTGGGGAGCCAGAGAGTCACCCACACAAAGCCCCACACGTGTTCCTAGCAGAACCAGGATACACCCCCAGGCTTCCTGAGGCCACATGTCCTCCCTGTGGCTGCCTGGTCATTCCCCTTCACCTAGCAGCTGTCTTGCTCCCATGTAGAACAGCAGGGCCCAGCGGCCACCTGCACCTCGCCATTTCCTCCAGCTCTGTGCTAGAAATGATGCAAGCAGGAAAACCATTTGCTTGTGGACCTACTATGTGTCAGGCACCTGCTGAACAGTAGCATTTGATGCTCTCGACGGCCTTAACAGGTCGGCACTGATCTGTTGATGCTGCAGTTGAGGAGCTTTAGCTTAGAGAGGTTAAATAGCATCCTCAAAGTCACCCAGGTCATGCTCTGCTTCTGGAGAGGCTGGGATGCAGCATGGGAGTGTGACCTCCTGAGCACGGACTGCACGGGCCGCCTCGCAGCCGGCATGGTGAGGTGAGATGAGTTGAGGTAAGCTCGCAGCTCCTTGGTGCCAGCCCTTCCACAACCAGAGTTGGGCTGCAGCAGGCTCTGCCCCAGCTTACCTGGGCAAGAGAGTGAGGACTGCACGGCTGGCGAGTGATACATGGAGAGTGTTGCCGCCAGCCTGACAGGCAGAAGATAAACAGCTCCCCGTTAAATCTCGCTTAATGCTGATATTTATAAATTTATTCAGCTTGTGTTTACTGAATCAAGAGAATGCCTAATAACATAACGTGCTTCATCTCACATGTTCCTACTAATGAGAATGCAAGTATTGCTTAATTTTTTTTTAACATTTCATTTGCTTTCCACTCACTCCACCCTGTTCTGTTGTTGTTGGCTTAGAGTTTAATCT
The DNA here is from genome assembly GCF_000001405.40 of Homo sapiens. Taxonomy (NCBI): domain Eukaryota; kingdom Metazoa; phylum Chordata; class Mammalia; order Primates; family Hominidae; genus Homo; species Homo sapiens. Next base: position 423,642 of record NW_025791760.1, read on the forward strand.
GTTGCTAAACACGGGGAAGTTTGGGCTTCTTGGGTGTTAGTGAGGAGAGAGCCAAGGTGGGTCTGGGGCAGTGGCTGGACCAAGGCCTCCAAACTGTGCCCTGTCCTACATGCAGTGCTTGGTGGACATGGAGTTGGCATACCCAAAGGATGGGCCATACTGAGGGAAAATGAAAGTCCTGGTGTCCTCTGCTGTATTTTGGGGTGGCTTCATGTATTGGGTCAGGGTTGCAGTATTTGGGGGCTTCGGGACAAAAAATTTAGAGTAGAGCAGTGTCCTTGGCTTTGGACAGACAGGAGGATGGACAGAATGACCAAGGAAACATAAGCAACATTTGTGGGGTGTGGTATAGCTGGGTGTGAGGATGAGTGTGTGTGTGAGAGGGGTGGAGGGCTCTGTCTCTACCTTTGTTTAATCTGCTTACTGAGTTATTGTTTTTTGTTTTTTTTTTTAAGAAAGCCTTTCCCTGGCTGCTTATCGCCCCAAGGTCAGCTGTGCTGGCTGCTGCAGGTTCAGTTCTGGGGTACCCAGGGCAGTCTTCACCAGGCAGGAGGAGCCCTCGGAGTAGGGCAGGGAGAGATGGCAAAGAGATCAGCAAAGCTCATGAGGGTGTTTGGAAATGCATTTGGTAAAGAAGTGAGGGTGGAGTGAGCTGAGATGGTCTGTGCTGGGCTTCCTTGGGTGGGGTGGGTGGGAGAGGGGAATGAGGGTGCCTGGCCTCAGAGGCCAGGTGGACAATGAGTCGAGTGGGGTTGGGGGGTACCAGGTAGAATTCTGGAGCAGGGAGGAGGAAGGCCGCGGAGAGGCTGTCCAGTGAGGCAGGACCAGGATGGGGGCACACAGGGGACGGGAGAATGGAGGGAGACTAAGTCTGATTCAGGAAAACAAAAACAGAATCTGGGACGAAGCAGTGGAGGAACTGAGACGGGGTGCAGGCCTTCCACAACCTTTCCTTCCCCATCCCACCACATCCTCTGTTTTCCCAGCTCCACATCCTCATACTCTATATCCAGCCAGCACTAATTTTCTTTTTGATGTCTTCTTTTTCTTCTCCTCTCCAACCAACCATATTGTGGGACTGAAGCATTCTTTCTAGTTCTAAAAAACATACAACCTTAAATATAAAAGTTGGGTAGAATAATTCATACTTTCGCATCAAATGTCCTGACATATCCAAACTTGCAGATAAACTATAAATGCTTTCTTATAATTCAGCTGATGGTCCACCTACCCATGCCTGTGTCCCGTCCTTGTGTGCTGGCTGGAGGAGAGACTGTGATGAGCGAGACCAGAGTTCCTGCCCTGACCCCTCAACCTTGGATGAGCTATGGGCCTCCTGGGGCCTCATGACCAAAAGATCCGCGCCTTCTAGCCCTGCTCTGGAGGGCAGCACACTGTGGTCTGGGTATCTTCTGCTGGGCTGGCAGAGCAGGAGGCAGACCAGGCTGCTGGAAGCGGCAGCTCTAGGGCAGTGCTCTCTGCCTTTATCTGGTTTGAGAGGCAGGACAAAGCTGTCTTCCATGGGGCCTGGCATCTTAGGAAAGGGACTCATGCCTTTTGACATTATCCAAGAAGGTGGGATAGGCCTGGGTAGGGCAAGGATGGAGGCTCCAGCCAAACACCAGAGGTCCAGTTTTTCTCAAGGGCAGGGAACAGATAATGTACCAAGTTTCAGTTCCGCCCATTGCTGGGTTTGTGCCCTTGATAGAGTCCTCTCCCTGTCTGGGCATCAGATTCCCTGTCTCATTAAAGGCAGATTGGCACTGAATAACTAACGCAACCTTTGCAATTCCATCTATGGCCAAATTTCCACGACCACCCGCCCAGACAAGCCTAAACCATGGTGTCTTCGCCAGCACCATCCAGACCTGCAGGGGCTGACACGGGCAGCCTCGGGAAGAAGGGCACCTTTCTTTACCAGGATCAACATATTGGGGTCCCTCTAGTTTGCTTCTCTGAGGGTTGGGGCACAGGCAGATGTCACGGACATCAGAGGGCTTGAGAAGCAAACACCTATTTAAGGAGTGAGTTGAGAAGCCCCAAGCGCAACCTCTGCTGCCGCCTCCTGTTTCCCGTCCCCCACCTCCCCCCCCACCAACTCATTCAGTCCTCTCCACGTGCAGCCTGTATCCCTATCCACCATGATACCTCCAAGGCCTATCAGGATGGTCAGCCATCCCAGCTGCTTCTGTCCCGCTGCAGCAGCAAGAACTTCCTCTGAAAGCGCCTCTGCATGCCTCCCTCTGGGCGCAGCTCTGTTTGGGGCTCCTTCAGGGGAGGGGGACGGGGGTTCATCCCTTTCTTTTGTGCTGCCTTTCCCTCCCACTTCCGCTCCCCTCGCTGCTCCAGTGACCTTTCACCCCTCCCTTGGACGTCCCTCAAAGGCAGCTCCCGTGGTTAATAACTTCGGCTGGCAGCCCCACATAAAGCCAGGGCCGGAAATCATTGTCCCGGGGACAATGGCCGAGCAGCCCAATAATGAGGTGGCCATAGTGTTGTCTGACATCCCACGTTGCCCTGGCAAAGGGGGAGGGGCAGCGGGGCTCGCCATGCCCTCGCCTCCTGGAGTTGAATTCTTCCGCTCGCACATGGTGGTTCCTCTTTCTGAGGCAGCACCACGCACCTGTGCCCTCCAGTGGCTGCATTTCCCTGGGACTGCATGCTGAGGGGATGTCACCCAGAGACCCCGACCCCCCTCAACACACAGCACCGTTGTTACTTTGCCTCATTTTCCTGCTCCCATGTCCCAGGGAGCCAGTCAGTACCGCATAGTAGGGCAATTGATCGGTTCTGGCTAATCCATAAGGGAGGGGAGATCTCAGCCTGCCGCCCAATGGGGAGCATGTGGCACTCTGGAAAGAGCATGTGCTCTAGAGCCAGAGGGCATGGGTTCAAGGTCTCCCTTCTACCTTTCTAGCTGTGTGACTTTGGGGAAGCTGCTTGACTTCTCTGAGTCTCCACTTACTAATCTATAAAAGCAGAAGTCGGATGGGAGCTGAGAGGAGGACTCTCACAAGCAACCTCAGAGGTGAATAACTGTGACCTCCAAGAAGTCACCATGTCCTTGCCACTCTGGTGGGTCTGGGCATCTTCTGCTGGGCTGGCAGAGTAGGAGGCAGACCAGGCTGCTGGAAGCAGCAGCTCCAGGGCAGTGCTCTCTGCCTTTATCTGGTTTGAGAAGCAGGATGTAGCTGTCTTCCATGGGGCCTGCCATAATATGAAAGGGACTCATGCCTTTTGACATTATCCAAGATGCTGGGATAGGCCTGGGTAGGGCGAGGATGGAGGCTCCAGCCAAACACCAGAGACTCAAACTCTTTGTGAGAGTGGCCCTGCCTCAGTAGTAACTTCATGCTTTTTGGGTAGGTCCAGCCTTGTATATTCCAAACCAGACCATCAGTGACTGAGAGACGTAGTGTGTTTCCTGCTTTCCTCTCTCTCTCCACCTTTTGCCCTCTGCACAATGCTGGGCACTCGGAAAGATCCCAATGCAGCGGTATGGTAAGGATTGACTGCTAACATCTGCAAGAGGCATTCAAGCAGTTCTCAGCCCTGCTGCCCATTGGAATTTCCTGGAGAGGCTTAAAAGATACCCAGAAATTTTGCCCTAATTGGTATAGGCTGTGGCATCAGGTAAAGAAACATTTATTTATATCCTTAGAAAATGAGCCAACTCAGACTTATTCCTGAGCACAGCCCCTTCCTTGGGGGAGAAATACAGTATATTTCAAGGCAGTCTTGATATTCTTAAATATAGTATTCTTTATTACAGCCTTATTCTAAGTAATGATTTAAGTTTAGGGATAGTTTTTTTTAAATTAATTTTATTGAGGCATAGTTTGCACATACTACAATATCCCCATTGAAAGGGTACAGTTCATGAGTTTCGACAAATGTATACATTTATGTAACCACCACCCCGGTGAAGATGTAGAATAATCCACCATCCCAGAAAGTTCTCTTGTGGGCGTGGGATTTTCGAAGCTCTCCAGGCGATTCTATGGTGCAGCGGACTCTGAGCATCATGGAGGCTCACTCAACAATCTCTGCTTTAGAATCTCAGAGAGGTTGTCCAGGACAGCACTTCTCACACTTTAGCATGCATCTCCTTGGATCTGGCTGAATGCCCATTCCATCCCAGAGTGGGGCCCGGAACCCTGCATTCCTAACAAGCCCAAACCACACTTTGAGGCTCTGCTACAAGTCTCTCATTTTGGAGGTGAAGGAAACGGAGGCTGAGAGTGTTGATGTGAGTGGCTTGCAAATCCTGATTCTGAAGCTCCTGGACTAATGACAATCATATCCCTTGCCCTTCAATCTCTTTTTCGACAGCCACCCTAACCCAGAATCCTAAACAAGAGGCGTAGCCATGATAGGATCTCTCTCCTATTTCCCTTCTGAGTGTTGTCCATTGCTTCTAGCCTATTCCCATCTTTCTTGTCCTGACCCAAGTCACCTTCCTGGGGAAGGGCCCCCTCCTCTGCCTGTTTCTGTACCAGCACCTACCTTTTCCCTATCAACAGCTCGCTTTCCTGGTTCATTCCATTCCTTAATATGTATCAACTCAATTTAATAAGCAAGTGTTTATTTAGCAATAGAACTGGGTCAGACCCTATCGTGCCCTTGAGGAGGAAGGCAAACTAGAAGCTGTGATTAAGTTAACAGATAAGACAAATAAATAACAGGATATATAAGGTGAGGAGAGACCTTAGTGACTGCCCAGCTCAGTTCCTCATTTTATAAGTAATGTTTAAGAGCAATGACCCACTCCTACTTTCAGCAAAGAGGTGCACATAGCATAGACCCATAGAAGAGGAAGGATCTGAGAAGGAGTTTGAAAAAAGTGTAGGAGAGGCTGCGAGAAAACAAGGCAGGTGTCCTGGCTGAGGGCAGGAAGGAGACATTGCGATGGAAATTGTGCCCCATTTTCTTGGAGGATTGGGAAGAGGACCTGTGGACTGGGCGGCCCACACAACTGCTGTAACCTCAGGCAGTTTTCAAGCAGATTGACCTTCCTGCTGGAACACGGCACATGAGGTGAAGTTCTCCTCTACCCAGGTCTGTCCTTAGCACCTTATGCAGGGTTTAACCCCCATGGGCATAAACAGGGTGTGTATCTGGGGTGGTTTGGGGATTAGGTCCCATGAGCACTGGGACCTGAAGATGCTTGGTCTAGAGAAGGGACGGTGTTTGGTCTGGGAAACATGGGGGTCATGTTTAATATTATATAGACAGTCACATGGGATATTTAATTAGCAATGTGGAATTTAGAGAGAGGCAGGTTTCACTTCACCTTTGGGAAGTACTAGGTTCTAACACACCTCCCTCGCCTGGAAAGAGATTGAACTACCACAGATTGAATCCCTTGGGAGGAAGGAATTTCAGTCCCTGAATGTGGACAGCTGAGGCTGGATGAGAACAGAGAGATGTCAGATGTCCAAGCTTCTGTGTCCACTCCCTGAGAGTCCACTAGGGGAAGCCAGTCATCATGGTAGCCTCATGTTCATCTTCATGTCTGAGGTTCAGCCCCAGAGCAATTTCCCTGTGGCCATCTGGCCGGGAGACATGTTTCATTTCTCTCCCAGAGGAACAGGCACTTCATTTCCCTCCCAGAATAGATCCACATCCAGAAGAATGTAATGGAGACAGGCAAGAACACAGAAGATTGCATAGGTTTAGGAAAGAAGAAGGCAACAAGGTTCTGTTGGGTTGCATCTGAGGAATCTTAGGTACCTAAAAAAATAGGTCTGGAATTAAAATAAGATGTTAGTGTTGAAGGTATAGAAATGTGAGTTAAAATGATGGCATGAAGCTTATCTAGGGAGATCACGCAGCTCCAGATGATTGTGGACTGAATGTCTTGTAGGGTTTTGGGTAGGATGAAATGTGAGTGGAATTTGGCCATAATCAGCCCTTAGAGTTGGCTTGAGCCCTGCCCTGGCCAGCTGTGTGTCCTTGGGTATGCCAACGTGCTTTCCTTTTCTGCATAACGGTGAGATTGTCCACAAGATATTTAAGGTTCTTCTAGCTTAGACACTGTAGAATTTACATTTTAAGGTTTTCGGGATTCAATTCAAATTCCAATCCAGAAGCAGATATCAGGGCCGATCTGGACCACCTCAGGAGAATAGCAGGGTCAGTGTCCAGAGGGGCTGGTCATGATGGGAGGGTCTTGAGGAAGGGAGACAGAAGAGAAGGATAAATGTGACTTGAGGTGGGAAAGAAAAACTTGGACTGTCCTCAGTCCCTTCAGTCAAGCATTGCAGAAGCTGTGTCTGCCTGCCAATTGCCTGCCAGTCAGACTGAGAATGTCCCCACAGGACCTCACAGGGGTTGCCTGGTCCATGTTCCACAAAGCAGGAACAACTGCTGGTTAATTATGCAGACACAAGGTGAGGAGTGCAGCTGTCTCTGGAGTTAACTCTCAAGGAGCTGCAACTTTAACAGTTAGCTCCCAGCCAAATGTGGGGGACAGGCTTTTCATGGTCCTAGGAGAAATAGGTCTACTGGGCTTGTCCAACCCAAAGCCGGTTGCCTCTATCGCCCCCAGGGTTGCTTGGCCTTGCCTCCACCATGCCTGACACTGGCGCTCTGCTGGGAGGAAAAAGCTTGCTCTGTTGCTGGCTGTGTGGAACAGAGAGGGAAGTGGCAGACAGTCTGGGCCCAGCACTTGGGTATCGTGCTCTAGCCATGCGACTCATCTCTCCAGTTCAGACCTGCCCCTGGAAAAAAGAGCCCAGACCTCATCATGAATGCTTTCCTAGGAGAAAATGAACAGCTGGACAATGCTCCTGGTCAGTAGGCCTGAAGGATGCTGGGATGCAGCCCTCAAGATGGAACAGCCAGGATGCCAAGTATCCCTCTTGCCCAGATCCTAAGGCACTTTTTCTACTGATCCATATTGGCCTCAGGAGATGTCTCAACACAGCACCCCAGCCAATGGAGCTGCCACATAAGATGAACTCTTGATCATCTCTAAACTAGAGAGTTAAACTCAACACTAGCAAACGACTTTGGGTTTATGCATATGTCATGTTTTCTCTGGCAACTGCACAGAATCATCTCTAAATATCACATCTATGGTTGGCAGGAGTGGCATGTATAATACAAAATGTCTGGTGGCCCTACTGTCACAAAACCTGTATAAAAGTAAATTCACAAATGGCTTTTTAGAACTGATGACAAAAAGTTACTCGTTATCACTTTTCTAATTAATTTCCTAAAAGGGCAATTTGAAATCATACTGGGATTCTCACAATTTTGGTTGACAGTCAAGTAAATTGCAGCTACTTATCAAGCACTTTTGAATGAATACATGAAGAATGAATAAAATGAAAGCTCTCCTGTTGCCCTCAGCATCACCAGTGTTCTGTATTTCTTCCTGTAACCTTTCCATTGGTTTAAAAACCTTTCTCAAGTGAAAGCAATCTCTTTAAAAACTGCAACATACTGCTGATGAGTTTTTGCTGTGGAAACATTCTCTATGCCTGCAAACCAAATCACCCTCTCTCTTTTCCTGGGAAGCACATCTTTCTCAGAGCAGAGCTTTGCAAAAAGGGGAAACCAAAGCTTCCACGAGGTGATAGTTACAGCTGCTCTCTCTTCCTGTTGCCCCAGGTGCCAAGGTGCAGAGGGGCAAGGCGGCAAGGCCTAGCCTGGGCAGAACTTGTCTGTCGTTAACTTTGCAAACTGACTTTCTGAACAACTGTGGTTTATTTCACTTTGATGTATATCTACTCAACTACTCTCTAGTACGTTTTCCTTCCTAACTGTGTTTGCTGTGACTTATGGTAAGATCTGAGTGTAGTTCCTGAGATGCTCTATAGGGTCAACAATGGGGTGTGTTGTGATGCTTGATATAAATGCATAACCAGGCAGCACGTGGCATGGTGCACACTCAGACCTGCCTGTGAAGGCTTGGCATTTAGGTAAGCAGCATTCATACATCCTCCTGAAAAGAGCCACCAGTGTGGGCTTATTGTTGTCCAAGTGTACCAGGGACTCTAGGTGACCTTTGGTTTGCTAGTAATCCTGTCCCTTCCTTTTCTGCTTCCTGCTTGGGTTGCAAAGCCATCACTCCCCACCACCCCTGCCCCTGGCCCCCAACAGAGAGAAGGGTGGAGCTAGCAAGTTGGTGTAAT